>NC_000005.10:180425139-180575585 GCF_000001405.40 Homo sapiens
GTTATTATTTCTTATTTAAATGTTTGGTAGAATTCCCCAGTGAAAGCACCAGGGCCTGGAGTTTTCTTTGTGGGTGAGTTTGTAACTACGAATTTAATTTCTTTAATAAACAAAGTGCTACTTAAGTTATCTGTTTCTTCTTGAGTCATTTTTAATGTCTGTGGCTTCCAAGGAATTTGTGCATTTAATCTAGGCTTTCAAATTTATAGACAATATGTCTTTCTTTCTTTCTTTTTTTTTTTTCTTTTTTTTTTTTTTTTTGAGATGGAGTCTCACTCTGTTGCCCAGGTGGGAGTGTAATGGTGCTATCTCAGCTCACTGCAACCTCCACCGCCCAGGTTCAAGCAATTCTCCTGTCTCAGCCTCCCGAGTAGCTGGGATTACAGGCACCGACCACCACGCCTGGCTAATTTTTGTATTTTTAGTAGAGACGAGGTTTCACTGTTGGCCAGGCTGCTTTTGACCTCCTGACCTCAGGTGATCCACCCACCTCAGCCTCCCAAAGCCCTGGGATTACAAGCGTGAGCCACTGTGCCCGGCCTATATATATATATAATATATATAATATATAATATATAATGTACATATTATATATAATGTATATATTACTTATAATGTAAATATTATATATATTTTATATATATTTTGAAACTGAGTCTCGCGCTGTCTCCCAGGCTGGAGTGCAGTGTAGCGATCTCGGCTCACCGCAAGCTCCGCCTCCCAGGTTCACACCATTCTCCTGCCTCAGCCTCTCCAAGTAGCTGGGATTACAGGTGCCCGCCACCACGCCCGGCTAATTTTTTGTATTTTTAGTAGAGACGGGGTTTCACTGTGTTAGCCAGGATGGTCTCGATCTCCTGACCTCGTGATCCGCCCGCCTCGGCCTCCCAAAGTGCTGGGATTACAGGTGTGAGCCACCATGCCAGTCCAGGTCTCGATTGTTTTATAATATTACTTCATCATCCTTCAAATACTTGTGGAATTTGTAGTACTATAATCTCTTTCATTTCTGCTCTTGAATTTGTATCCTCTCTTTCATTCTAATCAATTTGGCTAGAAGTTTACCAATTTTATAGGTCTCTCTTTTTTTTGTTTTCAATTTTATTGATTTCCTCTTTGATTCTTTTTTTTTTTTTTTTTTTTTTGAGACGGAGTCTCGCTCTGTCGCCCAGGCTGGAGTGCAGTGGTGCTATCTCTGCAAGCTCTGCCTCCAGGGCTCACGCCATTCTCCTGCCTCAGCCTCCAGAGTAGCTGGGACTACAGGCGCCCGCTATGACGCCCGGCTAATTTTTTGTATTTTTTAGTAGAGACGGGGTTTCACCCTGTTAGCCAGGATGGTCTCGATCTCCTGACCTCGTGATCCACCCGCCTCAGCCTCCCAAAGCCCTGGGATTACAAGCGTGAGCCACTATGCCCGGCATATATATATATATAATATATATATTATATATAATGTATACATATATAATGTATATATCACATATAATGTATATATTATATATAATGTATACATTATATATATATATTTTATATATATTTTGAAACTGAGTCTCGCACTGTCTCCCAGGCTGGAGTGCAGTGTAGCGATCCCGGCTCACCGCAAGCTCCGCCTCCCAGGTTCACACCATTCTCCTGCCTCAGCCTCCCGAGTAGCTGGGACTACAGGCGCCCGCCACCACGCCTGGCTAATTTTTTGTATTTTTAGTAGAGATGGGGTTTCACCGTGTTAGCCAGGATGGTCTCGATCTCCTGACCTCGTGATCCGCCCGCCTCGGCCTTCCAAAGTGCTGGGATTACAGGCGTGAGCCACCGCGCCCGGCTCCTCTTTGATTCTTATATTTCTTCTGCTTGCTTTGCATTGTATTTGTTCTCCTTTTTCTTGTTTCTTATGGTATAATCTGAAGCCATCGATTTGAGATATTTTCTCTTTTCTAATAGAAGCATATAGTGCCATAAATTTCGCACTTCACCTGCATCCCACAAGTTCTGATATTTTGTTTTTTCACTTTCATTCCATTCAGAATAATTACTAATTTGGCTAATTTACTTTTGATTTATTCTTTCACCCATGGGTTATTTAGAATTGTTTAACTGAGTTTTGAAATATTTGAGGATTTCAGAGCTATCTTTCTGTTGCTCATTTTTTTTTTTTAGATGAGGTCTTGCTCTGTCGCCCAGGCTGGAGTACAGTGGAATGATCATGGCTCACTGCAGCCTTGACCTCCTGGGCTCAAGCCATTCTCCCACCTTAGACCCCAGATAGCTGGGACGGCAAGCACACACCACCATGCCCGGATACTTTATTTTTAGTAGAGATGGGGTTTCGCCATGTTGCCCAGGCTCGTCTTGAACTCCTGGACTCAGGCAATCCACCCACCTTGACCTCCCAAAGTGCTAGGATTGCAGGTGTGAGCCACCGCATCTGGCCTCTGTTGTTCAATGTTGCCCAGGCTGGAGTGCAGTGGTGCAATCATAGCTCACTGCAGCCTCAAACTCCTGGGCTCAAGGGATCCTCCTGCTTCAGCCTCCTGAGTAGCTAGGACTGTAGGTGTGCACCAGCGTGCCCGGCTATTTTTTAAATCTTTTTGTAGAGATAAGAGCTTGCTATGTCGCCCAGGCTGGTCTTGAACCCCTGGCCTCAAAAGATCCTCCCACCTTCACCTCCAAACTATTGGGTTTACAGGCATGAGCCACCATGCCTGCCCATCACTTTTATTTTTGAAAAATATTTTCACTATTCCACTGTCTTCTCCAGACAAGAAATCTAGTGTCAGCTTTATCTTTGTTCCTCTGTATAGAAGGATTTCTGGGGCTGCTTTGAAGTTTTTCTCTTTATTACTGGTTTGAAGCTTTGTGATTATGATGTGATTTTTTTCTGGTTTCTTTTGCTTGAGCTTTGTTGAGCTTCCTGCATCTGTGAATTTATTTTTAATTAACTTTGGGAAACTCAGGACCATTATTTCTTCAAGTATTTTTTCTGTTCCTTTTCTTCTCTCTCCTCTCCCTTGATGATTCCAAATTACACACGTATTATGTTGTCTGAAGCCTTCCTACAAATCATTTATGCTCTTTTCATTTTTTAATTTACTTTTTTCTCCTTGTTTTTCAAATTCGCTACCCTTTTTCTCCTAAAATGTTTGACCTGCCCTTAATCCCACTCAGTGTATTTTTCATATTCGGCATTGTAATTTTCATCTCTGGAAGTGCTATGTCCATAACTAACGTACTGAGTGTTGTAATCGGGGCACAGTAACTGTCTTAACGCTCTTGTCTGCTAATTCTAACGTATACGTCGTTCTGGGTAGGTCTTGATTTGATGATTCTTCCCATTAGGAGGCATGCGTTCTGGCTTCTTTGTACACCAGGTGATCTTTGACTGGATGCTAGATACTGTGAATTTCATCTTGTTGGGTGCTGAATATTTTTGTATTCTGTGGGAATTCTTGAACTTTGTTCTAAGACACAGTTAAGTTACTTGGAAACAACTTGATCCTTTCAGATCTTGCTTTTATTACTTGTTATGCAGGTCCAAAGCAACGCCGTCTACGGGTAATTATTCCCTATTATTAAGGCAAGACCTCCCTGAACACTGTACCCAATAGCCCGTGAATTATGAGTTTTTCCTGTAAGCCGGTGAGAACAGTGTTCCCAGCCCTGTTTGGGTTTCAGGCTGTGTCCAGGCCGTGCTCCCTGTAACCCTTCCATGAGGTTCTTGCCCTGGCCATGGGTAGTTTCCGCATATGCGTGTGCTCTGGTGCTTACTCAGGAGGGCCCTGTACAAATCTCCCCAGTTCTCTCTCTGCACAACTCTCTCCTCCCTGGAATTCTGTCCTGTGACCTTTAGTGGCCTTGTTCTCTCTCAACCACATCTCCTCAAGAAGGCTACTGAATCTGCCTCAGTTTCCTTTTCTGCTCCACAGCCTGGAAACCACCTCAAGGCAAGCTGGGGTAATTGCAGGGAACATCTTGTTTGCTTCCCGTCTGTCAGGGATTACTGTCCTACATTGTCCTGTGTCTTGAAAACCATTGTTTCACATATTTTGCCTGGTTTTGTTTATTTGTTGCTGCTGTTTTAGGAAGGAGGGTCAATCCGGTCCCTGTTTATCGATCTTGGCCACAAGTGGAACTCCACGCTATTTGATTTTAAGACCTTATAAAGTTACAGTCATCAAGACAGCACGGTACTGGAGAGGGGGCAGACACATAGATGAATTCAAAGGAATAGAAAGTCTAGAAATTGACCCACACAATTACGGGCAATTTATCTTTTAGAAAGGTGCAAAGACGATTTGACAAAGAATGGATAATATTTTCAACAGTTTTGTTGCAATAATAATGAACCTCAACCCAAACCTCACATTATACAAAAATTAAGTCAAAATGGATCATATATCTAAATATAAAATGAAAACTTAGAAAACTTGAAAGTGTAGGAGAAAACCTTCATGATCTTAGCTTAGGCAGAGTTCTCAGATACAATACCAAAAGCATGACTCACAAAAGTAAAACTTAATAGAGCCAGGTGTGGTGGCTCATGTCTGTAATCTTAGCACTTTGGGGAGGCTGAGGCGGGTGGATCACTTGAGGTCAGGAGTTCAAGACCAGCCTGGCCAACATGGTGAAATCCCGTCTCTACTAAAAATGCAAAAATTAGCCGGTTGTGGTGGCGGGCGCCTGTAATCCCTGCTACTCAGGAGGCTGAAGTGGGAGAATCGCTTGAACTGGGGAGGTGGAAGTGGCAGTGAGCCAAGATTGCACCACTGCACTACAGCCTGGGTGACAGAGACTCCGTCTCAAAAAAAAAAAAGTAGAACTTGATAAATATGACTTCACCAAAATGGAAACGTTTTGCTCTGCAAATTAAAACCAAAATGAGATACCATCACATACCTTTGAGAATGACTAGAATTAAGCAAACCCTCAAATAAACTCTGTCAATACCAAGTGCTGGATACAAAGTAACTGGAACTCACATCCATTGCTGGTGGGAGCACAAAAATGGTGCAGCCACTTTGGGTAAGCTTAGCAGCTTCTTACAGAGCTAAACATGTGCTTATATATGACTCTGGAGTCCCACTCAGGTGTTTCTGAGAGAAATGAAAACATATATTCACACAAAAATCCTTTTTTTTTTTTTTTTTTTTTTTTTTTGAGACAGAGTCTCGCTCTTTCGCTGCGGGAATGCAGTGGCGCTATCTTGGCTGACGGCAAGCTCCGCCTCCCGGGTTCACACCATTCTCCTGCCTCGGCCTCCCGAGTAGCTGGGACTACAGGTGCCCGCCACCACGCCCGGCTAATTTTTTGTATTTTTAGTAGAGACGGGGTTTCACGTGTTAGCTAGGATGGTCTCGATCTCCTGACCTCGTGATCGGCCTGCCTCGGCCTCCCAAAGTGCTGGGATTACAGGCGTGAGCCACCGTGCCCGGCCACACAAAAATCTTACACCAATGTTTACAGCAGCTCAATTCATAATTGCCAAAAAATCAGAAATAACACAAGTGAATGGATAAACTGTGGTTCATTCATAGCATGAAAGACTCCCAGTGCTAAGAACAATGAGCTATTGATACGTGTAGTAACTAGCACGAATGTCTGAGGCCCTCTGCTGGGGTTACACTCAAGAAGTTATAGGACATTCCCGAAAAGATAAATCTATCAGTGGTAACCAGGAGTTAAATATAGGGGCTGGGTTTTATTTTCTTTTTTCTTTTTGAGACGGAGTCTCACTCTGTTGCCCAGGCTAGAGTGCAATGGCGCCATCTCGGCTCACTGCAAGCTCCAGCTCCCAGGTTCAAGCGATTCTCATGCCTCTGCCTCCCGAGTAGCTGGGGCTACAGGCATGTGCCACCACAGCAGGCTAAATTTTTGTACTTTTAGTAGAGATGGGGTTTCACCATGTTGGCCAGGCTGGTCTCAAACTCCTAACTTCAGGTGATCCACCCACCCCGGTCTCCCGAAGTGCTGGGATTACAGGTGTGAGCCACCTCGCCTGGTCAAGGGGCTGGATTTTCTACAAACGGATGGCATGAGGGAGTTTTGGGGGGGTGGCTAAACTGTTTTGTATTTTTTTTTTTTTTGAGATAGATTTTCACTCTGTCACCAAGCTGGAGTGCAGTGGCGTAATCTCGGCTCACCGCAAGCTCCGCCTCCTGGGTTCCAGCAATTCTTCTGCCTCAGCCTCCTGAGTAGCTGGGACTACAGGCGCGTGTCACCACACCTGGCTACTTTTCGTATTTTCAGTAGAGACAGGGTTTCACTGTGCTGGCCAGGATGGTGATCCCCCCACCTCGGCCTCCCAAACTGCTGGGATTACAGGTTTGAGCCACCGTGCCCGGCCAATATTTTGTATTCTAATTGTGATTACGGCCAGCCTTCTCCAAGGCTAGATGCTGGACACTCTTCTCCAATTATATAGCCATTAAATAAGTCCTTACTTGGCTTCTATAACGTGCACAACACTGGGCAGGACAGCGTGGGGAATAAGACAAACCTGGACCTTGCCAACTGTGGAGCTCCAGATGTCAGCAAGTGGCAAGGCAGGGCACGAACCCCACAGTCCTCAAACCAGATGTGCAAAAGCCATGACTCCACTGTCTCTGGCCCAAGATGTGTGCTGAAGAATCCTTGTTGAGCCACTCTGGGTGAGTCCTGTCCAATTTTATTTCTCAACTATGTGGTGTTTAGGTATCAGTCCTGTCACGGTTCTTCTCCCTGTTCTTCTTCCAGGGTGATGTCTGAGTTCTAGATTCTCAAGAGGTGACAGGGCCAGTGGGGAGGGGACCTAGATGGAAGGCACCTGCTGCAGCAGCACTGTAGGTGGCTCTCCAGTCTTGGTGTCTCCTGAAGCTGCTGGTGAGAGGTGACAACGTGCTAGCAGCCCTCGCTCTCTCGGCGCCTCCTTGGCCTGGGCGTCCACTCGGGCCGTGCTTGAGGAGCCCTTCAGCCCGCCTCTGCACTGCAGGAGCCCCTCTCTGGGCTGGCGAGGCCGGAGCCGGCTCCCTCTGCTTGCGTGGAGGTGTAGAGGGAGAAGCGCTGGCGGGAGGCGCGAACAGGGGCTGTGCGCTCTCGCGGGACAGCGCGAGTTCTGGGTGGGCGTGGGCTCGGCGAGCCCTGCACTCGGAGCGGCCAGCCAGGGCCACCAGCCCCGGGTGGTGAGGGGCTTAGCACCTGGGCCAGCAGCTGTGGAGGGTGCGTGGTCCCCCAACGCTGCTGGCCTGCCTGCAGCACACTGGAATTCTTGCCGGGCCTCAGCAGCCTCCCCATGTGGCAGGGCTCGGCACCTGCAACCTGCCACCCCCTAGCCCCTACCCCTCCCGACGTGGGCTCCCGCACAGTGAGCCTCTCCCCTACAGGTGCGCCCCCTGCTCCGCGGCGCCTGGTCCCGTCGACCACCCAAGGACTGAGAAGTGTAGGCGTGCGCCCCGGGACTGGCTGCTAGCAGCCCTGGCACAGAATCCACTAGGTAAAACCAGCTGGACTTCTGAGTCGTGTTGGGCTGGGGGGCGGGTCTTGGAAAACTTTTATGTCTAGCTAGAGGATTGTAAATGCACCAATCAGCACTCTGTGTCTAGCTCAGGGATTGTAAACGCACCAATCAGCACCCTGTCAAAACGGACCAATCAGTTCTCTGTAAAACAGACCAATCAGCTCTCTGTAAAATGGACCAATCAGCTCTCTGTAAAATGGGCCAATCAGCAGGATGTGGGTGGGGCCAGATAAGGGAATAAAAGCAGCAGGCTGCGTAAGCCAGCACTGGGGTCCTTTTCCACCTTGTGAGAAGGTTAGTTTGTTAGCTCTTTGCGATAAATGTTGTTTCTAATTTATTGGGTCCAAGTTGCCTTTATGAGGTGTGACACTAACTGTGAAGGTCTGCAGCTTCACTTCTGAAGTCAGTGAGATCACGAACCCACCAGAAGAAAGAAACTGTGGGCATGTCTGAACATCTAAAGTAACAAACTCAGGACGCACCATCTTTAAGAATTGTAACACTCACTGCGAAAGTTTGTGGCTTCATTCTTGAAGTCAGGGAGACCAAGCACCCACGAATCCGGGACACACAGAGATGCCCACACTCCTGCCACTTCCTGCTTCACTCTGTGTCTTTGGGGTTTCTTCAGCTAGCTTGCTTCTGCCTCCCTCATGGCACCCATGAGCTGTGGGTGGGAGCCCACATGTCTCTCTAGAGGCTGCACTTAGGTCCACCCTCCTTGCGTGGGCCCAGGGCTCTGCTGCCCTTTAGCCTCTGGTGCTAGACCTGGTGTTTTTAGTGGGGTCCTGGCTCCTGCGGCTCCCTGGGAAGATACCCTCTATTCTGGGTCCCTTGAGCCTTTCTGGCTCATGGCCCTGTCTCACCCTTGGGAGGTGGGAGGAGTGAGTTGAAAGCAGGGTCCTTTTTCAGAGGCTCAGACACGCTTGTCTCCGCTTTACTTGCTCCAGCTCTGGGAGGCCCCACACCTGCCCAGGGAACTGGGCTGTCACAGCATTGTGCTAACCAAGAGCTCACGCTCTCCTTTGGAATTCAGTACACCCTGTCTCTGTACCTAAAAGCTTTTCCTGTAAGAGCGATGGATGGTCCAAGCCATGGATCCCTAAGGCCTCCCAGCAAATACCAGCTCTGGTCTGTGCCTTCCTCCAGGCGTTTCTCCAGGAAGCATCTTACTCCAAGGGCCCTGAGGACAGAGAGCTTCCTGGACCAGGGGATAGGGAGCAGGACGTACAGAGAAGGAGATCCATTATTCTGCCAAAGTGGCTTTGGATGTGGGTTTGAATAACATCTTCCCTACTTCCTAGCTATGTGGTCCTGGCAGCTTTCTCCCTTCTTTCCTCTCCTCCACGCTTTCTCTTTTTTTTTTTTTTTTTTTGAGACAGACTCACACTCTGTTGCCCAGGCCGGAGTGCAGTCGCACAGTCTTGGCTTACTGCAACTTCCACCTCCCAGATTCAAGCAATGATTTTGCCTTAGCCTCCCGAGTAGCTGGGACTACAGGCGCCTGCCACCACGCCCAGTTAATTTTTTGTATTTTTAGTAGAGGTGGAGTTTTGACTGTGTTAGCCAGGATGGTCTCGATCTCCTGAACTCATGATCTGCCCGCCTCGGCCTCCCAAAGTGCTGGGATTACAGGTGTGAGCCACCGTGCACAGTCAATTTTTTTATTTTTAGTAGTGATGGAGTTTCACCGTGTTGGCCAGGCTGGTCTCAAACTCCTAATCTGGTGATCCACCCGCCTCGGCCTCCCAAAGTACTGGGATACAGGCGTGAGCCACCGTGCCCAGCTCTTCCAGGCATCTATTTCTAACCTCGTGGTGTATAACTTCCCTACCTTTCTCTCCGCATTCATGTAACCATTCACACACGCATGCAGTTCTTCTCGGTTTTGTTTTGGGATATTATGTTTACTTCTCTGCATCCTGGTTGGAAGTTCACTGTGGAATTCCTCCAAGTGTGTTTGTTCGCATTTAATCCATTCTTCCAGGCTGCCTAGTCTACCATGAAATAGCTGTCCCACAAATTACTTGGTTTATCCCTATTGAGGCAATCTCTTTTTTCCATGACTTTGCCACCTCTTGTGCTACATTAATTGATGGGTGGGGACCTGGGGGTACTGGAAGGTGCTGGTGGGAGCAGGTAGAGTCCTTGGAGATGTGGCTCTTGATGGCAGTCATGTGTCCAGCAACTTCCATGTGCCCCACTGTGTTGGTTCAATTGTGCACCTCGTTGGTCATGTAGGATGAGCCCAGACTAGGATACAGCCAAATCGCTGGGTCAGTAGCCCTGTGCACTGACCCTGTACACTGCCTTGCGTGGGTTCCTGTCTTATTTGCTTTTTTTTTTTTTTTTTTGGAGACGGAGTCTCGCTCTGTCGCCCAGGCTGGAGTGCAGTGGTGTGATCTTGGCTTGGCTAACTGCAACTTCCGCCTCCCGGGTTCAAGCAATTCTCCTGCCTCAGCCTCACGAGTAGCTGGGACTACAGGCTAATTTTTTTTTTTTTTTTTTTAATTTTAGTAGAGACTGGGTTTCACCATGTTTCCCAGGCTGGTCTCAAACTCCTGAACTCAGGCAATCCATCCGCCTCGGACTCCCAGTGTGCTAGGATTACAGGTGTGAGCCACTGTGCCCAGCCCTTATTTGCATTTTTGGGTGTGTGTGTGGTTGATGTGAGGGTAGATGCTTGGAGTGGGAGGACAGAAACGAAGGGGGTGGAGGATGCAGGGGGTGCAGGGAACCCCACTTGGGGCTGGTTTCTGGGTCCCTGTGGGGAGAGGCAGAGGTCGAGTCCCTGTCTTCAAAACACATGTTCTGGGGTAAAGTGCGTGCTTCCCAGGTTTCAGGTGCCCAGTGAAGGCACTGGAAATGGAAACGGGGTTGCAACATGGCAATGCCCCCCACTGGCAGGAGACAAGGGTGCCACACACATTATATCAAACACATGGAAGATGCTCCTGGAGACCCCTAGAAATGCAGAGAGCTGGGGAAAAAGGAAGTGGGGGCCAGGATTTGTTTCCATCCACAGGAGCCTGGCTTGCTTGCATGGACAGGGTGATGGAAGGCCAAGGGGCAGCCTATGGAATGGGCAGGAAGGCTTGAGACCAGGGCCGGCCCGAGCAGAAGCCAGACCCGCTGGAGTGGGGGCTGAGAGGTGAGCAGGGGAGCACCATGGGCAGCCTCGCCAGGGCACTGAGCCGTCTGTCTGTCCTCACTGCACACCTTTCAGGGCTCACAGCCCAGGTGGGCTGCCCTAGTTGGCCTTGCCTGGGGCTTGCTCCTCTGGGCCGAGGGAGGCCTGGGCACCAGCATGGAAAGTGCCACTAAGACTGAGCATGGGGCATGGCGAGCCCCCAGATGAGTGGGGTGCCGTGACCTGAAGCAGGAGGCATTGGCACTTGGGCACCAGCCCTCACGATTATCCCCCCTTTACAGATGGGGAAACTGAGGCACGAATGGGGGTGCCGCTTGCTTGAGGTTGCTGTCTCAGTTGGGATCCCCAGAAACAGACTCTGAAACGAGGACGTATGTGCAGGTAGTTAACAGGGTGCTCAAAGTAGGTTATTTGGGTGCAGGTTCCCAGGAAACACTGTGGGGTGTGGGGAAGGGAGGCAGGGAAGGGAGGGGAGGCCATGAGAATGTGTCGAGGAGCAGTTACCCTGGAGCAACCGAGGCTCTGTCCCCTGGGGTCTTCTAGAGAATCGGAGGCTCAAGCCTCAAGGGGTCCCTCTGAGTGGAAGAAGATGGGGTATTTCCTCACTCACTTCTACCCAGGGGAATCAATTCCCCCGCACCCCAGGCCCAGCCTGCCCTGAAGAGAGACGGGGAGAGTCGTGTGACCTTAGGGCAGGCCTCGGCTCTGGGCAGGGCATCCGCCGCAGTGTCCACACAGCTTCACAGCTAGGGAGGCAGGCCAGGGGCTCGAGTGAGGGCATTTGACCTTTTCCCAAGATCGCATCCTCCTCGCTCTCTCATCAAGGGTTTTGGACAGAGCCCTTCTCCAGGAAAGGCTGCAGGAGGCGGCTCGCTGGCATGTTGCTGGCAGGGTTTCAGTTTGCACTGCTTCTCCGCAGGGCAGTTTGGCTGTGAGGAACAGAATGCCCACCCTACATGCCAAACAGCAGCAGTGAGCGGAACAGGATTTCAGTATCAGGGCTGCTTAGCTGCCCGGCGATGTGCTGAGGGCCTGGGCTCTCTATTCTCCTTTGCTTTTCAGCTTTATCTGGTTAGTTGGCCTTGCCCTGGCCTTCCAGAGCCCAGGGTCTAGAGCACAAGGCAGCAGGAAGGAGGCTCTTGGGAGCTTCTCCATCTTTTGAGGGAAGAAAGTTTTCCCCAGGCTTTACCCCCAGCAAAGGCCCCTTCCATCCGCTTGGCCAGGTCTGAGTGTTCTGACCAACATGATGGTGCTGGGTTAAGGACGGTAGCACCTCCTCTCCCTCCAGCTGCGACCTCGAGGGGCTTTGGAGCTGGGGGAGTGACCACAGACCAGGCCTGGATGACCAAGACTGCTGGGTCAGCCAATGGTCCAGCAGCACCAGCCCAGGGCAGCCAACGGTCCAGCAGCACCAGCCCAGGGCAGCCAACGGTCCAGCAGCACCAGCCCAGGGCAGCCTCAGGCTCAGGACTTTAGGGCTCCACACAGCAGGGTTGGAGCCTCAGCACACAGCTAGCTGGAGTCTGACCCCCAAGGTCCCAGCTTGTCCCCACCCCCATCAGTCAAAGGAAAACCAGAGAGGCCGGGCCCGGCGGCTCACACCTGTAATCCCAGCACTTTGGGAGACCAAGATGGGAAGATCACTTGAACCCAGGAGTTCAAGACCAGCCTGGGCAACATGGCAAGATCCCATTTCTAAACAACAAAAAATTAAAATAAAATAAAGGCAGGCCAGGGAGAGACTGCCCAGGACGGTGGCCGCAGCTGCTGTGCATAAGGGCCCGCTGTGGGCCTGGCGTGGTGCTGGGAGTACCCATGTGTCTCCTCCTGTATTCTTCAGTCCTTGACCTGGCTCCCAGGGGCCTGTCTGTGCTGCCTTCCTTCTGTGCCTGGAAGTGTCCCTGAGCCTTGGCAGCTTCCACGTAGCCTCAGAACCACTTTCCATTTGTATTGTTAGATTAGTTTTAAATATCCAAGTAATCCATGAATTCACTTTTCTTATATATATGTACAATTAACTGCCCCCATTCCCCGCCCAAATCCTAGGTCCCAGGTAACAGCGGTTTCAGCTTTTGCTCCTTCTCCTTGCAGGCCTTTCCTGTGTTTACACCCACCTGCAGCGTGGATAAAGAGTTTCTGGCCGGGCGAGGTGGCTCACGTCTGTAATCCCAGCACTTTGGGAGGCTGAGGCGGGCGGATCACGAGGTCAGGAGATTGAGACCATCCTGGTTAACACGGTGAAACCCCGTCTCTACTAAAAATACAAAAAATTAGCCGGGCGTGGTGGCGGGTGCCTGTAGTCCCTGTTACTCAGGAGGCTGAGGCAGGAGAATGGTGTGAACCCGGGAGGCGGAGCTTGCAGTGAGCCCAGATTGCGCCACTGCATTCCAGCCTGGGCAACAGAGCAAGACTCTGTCTCAAAAAAAAAAAAAAAAGAAAAAAAGAAAAGAGTTTCTATTGGCTGGGCATGGTGGCTCATGCCTGTAATCCCAGCACTTTGGGAGGCCAAGGTGGGCAGTTCACCTGAGGTCAGGAGTTCCAGACCAGCCTGGCCAACATGGTGAAACCCTGTCTCTACTAAAAATACAAAAATTAGCTGGGTGTGGTGGCACACACCTGTAATCCCAGCTACTCGGGAGGCTGAGGCAGGAGAATCACTTGAACCCGGGAGGCAGAGGTTGCAGTGAGCCAGGATCACGCCACTGTACTCCAGCCTGGGTGACAAGAGTGAGACTCCGTCTTAAGAAAAAAAAAAAAGAGTTTCTATGAGTGTGTCACAAAGCGCACAACGTGTCCACATGGTTCTGCCCCTTTGACTTTTTCACTGTCCGCCTGTCTTGCTGAGTGAAACCTCCACCAGTGTGTGGCCCCTGCTGTTCTTTTGATGGCTGTGTGTTCCCCAGTGTGGAGACGGCTGGTGCTGTCTTTCTCCCGCTGATGATGTGGAGGTTCTGGGTAAGATTCTGCAGCTCCCTTCTGCTGTAGACTGAATGTTTGTCCCCAGCCCCGTCAATTCATATATTGAGGCATAAGCCCCAAAGTGATGGTATTAGGAGGGCCTTTGTGAGGTTATTAGGTCACAGGATGAAGCCCTCATGAATGGAACTATTGCCCATATAAAAGGGGGCCCTTGCCCCTTCTGCCATGAGAAGACACAGCTAGAGAACCAGAAAGCAGGCCCTTGCCAGACACCAAAGCTGCTGGTGCCGTGACCTTGGACTTCCCAGCCTCCAGAACTCTGAGAAATCAATTTCTGTTGTTGTTAAGCTCTCCAGTCTGTGACATTCTGCAGTAGAAGCCTGAATGGACTAAGACGCCTTCCTAGGAGTTAGATGATTCCTCCTCCATTATTCTGGGCTGTCTCGAAGCCCCACGGCTGCTCACCCTCTACACAGCCTGGTCATCTCCTGCACTGCCTGGCCCCAGCCCCATCTCCATGCCAGTGTTCCCCACAGCTCCATCTCCAGGTGAGCCTCCGCTGGCCTCCCCCGGCCACCTCTGCTGGACAGCCCACAGGCTCCCGGACTGCTTCGGTGTTGCACGGGGACTGTGAAGAGCTGGGACCGTGGCGAAGAAACATCTGCTGAGCCAAGGACACTGTTGGTCATGCTTGTGTCTTCATAGCAGAAAGTTCTAAAGGCAGTGTTAGGTGGGCCTGTGTACACACAGACCCCGTCTGGGTCGGCACTGCCTGAGGGCAGCCAGCACTGAGGCGGGTCGTGACCCCGTCGGTGCCTGTGCAGAAAGGAGGCTCGCTGCAGAAGGGAAGAAACCTGTGCTAACCCTGCCCCGCCTCCTGCTGGCTCTGTGCCCTGGGGCCTGTCAGTACCGGATCCCAGCCTTGCTTTCCTCACTGGTAAATTAGGGATCTAACGCACAGTCTGCCACGAGGATGGGATTGATGAGATGAGGCAGCCCGAGTTACTGGCTGTGATTTCTGTCGTGATCCTACCCATTTTCTTCTTCGCCCTGCTGTTCTGAAGATTAAATATAACAGTCGAGTGTGGTGGCTCATGCCTGTAATCTCAGCACTTTGGGAGGCTGAGGCGGGCAGATCACCTGAGGTCAGGAGTTCAAGACCAGCCTGGTCAACATGGTGAAACCCCGTCTCTATAAAAAAATACAAAACTTAGCTGGGTGTGGTGGCGCATGCCTGTAATCCCAGCTATTCAGGAGACTGAGGCAAGAGAATCACTTGAACCCAGGAGGGGAAGTTTGCAGTGAGCCGAGATCATGCCATTGCACTCCAGCCTGGGCAACAGCAAGACTCTGTCTAAAATAAATAGATAAAATAAATAAATTAAATAGATCAATAAAACAGTACAACACAGCGTCAGGCACTGTGCCAGCACATTAGAAGGTGCTCCATGAACGCCAGCTTCCTTCCTCTTTCCAGATTTATTTTCAACTGGAAAGCTTCAATGAATGAGTGAATGAGGGAATCACTGCTCCCCTCAGCAGTGAGCTGAGGAGTAGATCCTTGCTGACCGCTGAGCCACAGGCACTGATCAACACCTAGAATGTCGATGGGGACAGTTACCTTGGAGGGGCTGTTGACTGTATCCCCAAGACAGGAGCAGCCAGATGCCCTGTGCCTCCAAAAGGAATGTGTGAGGATGCTCCCAGCCCCACCCCTGAGACTTCCTGCCAAAAAAGTTGAGCCTGAATCCTGCGCATTCGCTTTACGACTGACTTCCAGTTTCAAGGAGGAAGGGGATGGAGGGTCGCATTAAACAACACCTCAAGGCAGCCCAGATCGGGAGGGAGGGTCCCTCTGCAGGACAGAAACCAGCTCGTGCCGCAAGCCAACCGCGAGAAGGGAAGAGGGGGCGCTCTAGGTTACAAGAGAATTAAGAAGCACAACACCCAGATACGTGTGGCCTGTGTTTGGATTCTATTTGAACAAAAGACATGAAAAGAGACTTTATTTTTCAGGCAATGGGGAAGTGTGACTGTGGACAGGGCATTAGATGACATCAAAGACTTCCTGACCACTAAGTGTCATAATAGCATTACAATCATGCAGGAAAATATCCTATGAAGGACGTGGAGATAACATGGGATATGTTTTTCAGGAAGAGCTATGACGGCAGACTAAAAATGTACGGTTATTTGGTGTAAGATATCTGTTTACCAGAGGCCTTCCTATTGGTCTATAGTGTAAGAATATTTTGACAAGCAGTTTTTATTTATAGAAACAAAAATAAAGGTCTTTGCAATCCCAAATACTCAGGAGGCTAAGGCAGGAGGTTTACCTGAGTCCAGGAGTTCAAGGCTGCAGTGAGTTATGATTGTGCCACTGCACTCCAGCCTGGGTGACAGAGTGAGACCCTGTCACACACATACAAAAAAAAGCTATTTGCAAAAATTTTGAAAAGTTAATGGTAAGAATCAATGAGGCCAGGTGAAGTGGCTCATTCATGTCTGTAACCCCAGGACTTTGAAAAACTGAGGAGGGATGATCATTTGAGGTCAGGAGTTCGAGACCACCCTGTCAACATTGTGAAACCCTGTCTCTACTAAAAATATAAAAATTAGCCAGGCATGGTGGCCGCACACCTGTAATCCCAGCTACTCGGGAGGCTGAGGCAGGAGGATTGCTTGAACCCAGGAGGTGGAGGTTGCCGTGAGCTGAGATCACGTCACTGTACTCCAGCCTGGGTGATGGAGTGAGATTCTGTCTAAAAAAAAGAAAAAAAAAAAAAAGCTCAATGGCAGTAATGGTATAGTCAAACTCATCTATTCAATCTATTCATTTATTCATAGCAAAAGCACACAAGCCTGTGGGAAAATAATTTGGCAATAAGCAGCGAGAACCATACAAATACCATGTTCTCTAGCTCAAGACTCTGATTGCTGGGAATTTACCCTGATGAAATAACCCGAAAGAAGGGGAAAACCACTCAGGGCAAGGGTGTGGCTCTGGAGTTACGTGCTTTGCCTTGACGGCACTAGAAAGCAAAGTTCCGAGGACTGTGTTGCAACTTGGAAGCCCGCGCAAGCAGCTGGAAGGGGTGCTGTGATTACAGCCGCGTGAAGGCATGCGCGCTGGGGCCTGGCCAGCGGGGTGCCTGGAGAGGTGAGTGTGGTGGCTGGATCTGGGGGAGAGGCAGGTCCGCTAGGAAGCAGGGGGCAGGGGCAGGGTGTGTTTGCAAGCTGGTACCGTGCTGCCATGGCCACAGGTACAACTTCAGTGCAAATGGATTGTGAGCTGGAGTGACCCCTGAACACCTGGTGGAAACCAGCCGGGCTTACACTGGGCAAAGCTGGGTTGTCAGGGACCCTGGTGAGACCCTGTCTTCCCCCCATTCCTCTCTGCCAGTCTTGGGGCCCTGGGCTCCCACACAGACCGGCTTTCTGCGTGGGATAGGATTATCAGACCCTTTCCTGAAATCGCGGGTGGGAAACAGGTGAGGTCATGAAGGCAGCCTGGGAGGGAGGAAGGGACAGGATGTGGAGGGGAGAGGGAACACAGCAAAGGAGGCTTACTGGTCCAGGTCCTCTGCGTACATCATCTCACTGCCTCAAAATGTTTGGGGAATGAGGCACGGTATAAACTTTCTTCACTTTTCCTTCACTACAGTCTTCTGCAGGTATTATTGTCCCCATTTTACAGACAACGAAGCTGAGGCTCCAAGGGATTGGTAACCTTACAAAGATTTACTAAGTTTTTAGGTGTAAAACTGAGATACTAACCCAGATCTGTGTCTCTGGGGCCAGGCTCTCTGGGGAAATCAGCCCAGGTCATCTCTCTCTCTCTCTCCAGTATCACCTGTGGCTTCTTAGATAGGAAACTGAGGCTGAACACTTACAGGCTTACACAAGTAACTGCACTGCCAGCCTCCTCAATTATTGACCCAGGATCTGATGTCAAGCCCCACCCTCAGGGTGCTGGGCCCTCATGTCCCATTTAAGTGTGGCCCTAAAGGCTGACAGCTTTCCTTTCCCAACAGGTACCTGGTCCATCCCTCCAGGCCCCTTAGAGAGAGGACTCAGAGAAGAGACTGAGGGAGATGGGATGTGCCAGGGTTTCCTGCTAGGAGCCTCATCTTTCTACCCCTTCTCTGTTCCCGAGAACACAGTGGTCATCCCCTCTGGAAGATGAAGTAACAGGGCACCATCTTGGAAGCAAAGAGAGCAGCCCTCGCCAGACTCCAAGTCTGCTGGAGCCTTAATCTTGGACTTCCCAACCTCTAGAGTTGTGAGAAAATAAATTTCTATTTATAATTTACCCAGTCCATGGAGTTGTGTTACAGCAGCACAAGTGGACTAAGACGCTGTCAACACTTGTTAATTTCTGTTGTTATGCCATCGTAGTGGTTGTAAACTGATATCATGTTGTGATTTTGATTTGCATTTCCCTGATGATTAGTGATGTTGAGCATCTATCTGTTCATGTGCTTGTTGGCCCTTTGTGTATCTTCTTTGAATAAATGTCTATTCAAGTTCTTTGTCCATTTTTAAGCTGGGTTGTATGTCTTCATTGTTGTTAGGTTGTAACAGTGCTTTATACGGCCAGGTGCGGTGGCTCACGCTTGTAATCCCAACACTTTGGGAGGCCCAGGCAGGCGGATCACCTGAGGTCAGGAGTTCGAGACCAGCCTGACCAACATGGAGAAACCCCATCTCTACTAAAAATACAAAAAAAATTGGCTGGGTATGCTGGCACACGCCTGTAATCCCAGCTAGTCAGGAGGCTGAGGCAGGGGAAGTGCTTGAACCCGGGAGGCGGAGGTTGTGGTGAGCCAAGATCGCACCATTGCACTCCAGCCTGGGCAACAAGAGCGAAACTCCATTTCAAAAATAATAATAATAATAATAATAATAATGCTTTATATATTCTGGATAGTAGATTTTTTATCAGATACATGATTTGCAATTTCCTTCTCCCATTCTGAGGGCTGTCTTTTCACACTTTCTCTCTCCTCTTTTTAAAAAACAGGGTCTTGTTCTTTCTTCCAGGCTAAAGTGCAATGACATAATCTTAGCTCACTACAGCCTCAGACCCCTGGGCTCAAGTGATACTCCCACTTCAGCCTCCCAAGTAGCTGGGACTATAGGTGTGCACCACCACACCTGACTAATTTATTTATTTATTTATTTTTTGAGAAGGAGTCTCGCTCTGTTGCCCAGGCTGGAGTGCAGTGGCATGATCTCAGCTCACTGCAACCTCCGCCTCCTGGGTTCAAGCGATTCTCGTGCCTCGGCTTCCTGAGTAGCTGGGATTACAGGCATGCACCACCATGCCCGGCTAATTTTTCTATTTTTAGTAGAGATAGAGTTTCACCATGTTGGCCAGGCTGGTCTCAAGCTCCTGACCTCAAGTGATCCACCCGCCTCAGCCTCCCAAAAGTGCTGGGATTATAGGCGTGAGCCACCACACCTGGCCGACAGTGTTCTTTGATGCACAAAAGTTTTTAGTCTTGATAAAGTACAAATTTATCTATTGTTGTTGCATGTGACTTTGGTGACATCTGAGCACCCATTGCCAAATCCAGGGCATTAGGATTTGCCCCAGTGTTTTCTCTAAGAGTTTTTTGTAACTTTAACTGTTATACTTAGGGTTTCGGTCCCTTTTGAGTTGACTTTTGTTTATAGTGTGAGGAAAGGCCTCAGCTTTATTTTTTTGCATTTGGATATCTGGTTGGCCCAGCATCATTTATTGATGAGATTGTTCTCCATGAAAGGGCTTTGAATTATTATTGGTTGAAGAATAGTTTTTCTGGGTTCCCTTGCTTCAGTAGCATATATACTAGAAACTGGAATGACACAGAGAAGATTAGGATGGCCCCTGGGCAAGGATGACGTGCAAATTTGTGAAGTGTTCATTTTATTAGAAATAAAAATTAAATTACAAATTTTCTAAGGAATTATTTTTTGGATATAGAGTTCTTGGTTGACAGTTTTTTTTTTCTTTCATCATTTTAAATATGCCAACTTTCCGGCCTCCATGGTTTCTGATGAGAAATCAGCTGTTAATCTTATTGAGGATCCCTTATATGAGACAAGTTTACTTCTCTTGTGATGCTTTCAAGATTCTCTCTTTTGCTGGATAGGAGTGAAGCAAGATGGCAAAATAGGACTTTACAGTGATTGTCCCGCCACAGAAACATCAATTTGAACAACTATTCATGCTTGAAAATATCTTCACACGAGCTAAGGAAACCAGGTGAGAGAGAGCAGTATCTGGTTGTAGCATAATGAGAAAGTATATATTGGCGAGGGCAGGAGAGGCAGTTTTAAGTTACCCACATCATCCATCCCCAGCCCCAGGCAGCACTGAATTGAGAGATGCCATCCTCTGGGGAGGAAGAGAGGGAAGTAAGCATAGGACTTTTCCTTAGACCCCAGTACCAGGCCCAGCACCAGGCAAACCCCCACATCCCACATCCCATATTCCAGGCCAGTAATCATGGACTGAGCCTCTAAACCTGCCCTCAGATCACACCATATACAAAAATTAACTCAAAACGAATTAATGACTTAAATGTAAGAACCAAATTATGAAACTACTAAAAGAAAACATTTGGGAAAACTCCACGGCATTGGCCTGGGTAAGGACTTTTTGCAGATAACCCCCAAAGCATAGGCAACGAAGCAAAAATAGATAAATGGGATTACATCAAGCTGTAAAGTTTCTTTTTTCATTTTTTTGAGACAGGGTCTCACTCTGTTGCCCAGGCTGGAGTGCAGTGGTGCGATCACAGCTCACTGCAGACTTGACCTCCAGCTTCAGGTGATTTTTTAAAATTTACTTTTATTTTTGTATGTATCTAAAATATTTCAAAAGCATATAAAATGTATATTCAGACATACTATTACATTTCTTCTTCCCTCAATCTTACTATGACCATACCATGTAGCTAACCATTTAGTATGTTAAATTCTGTATTTTTTGTTCTTCCTGGGTGTCTTTTTTTTTATTATTATACTTAAGTTCTGGGATACATGTGCGTAACATGCAGGTTTGTTACATAGGTATACATGTGCCATGGTGGTTTGCTGCACCCATCAACCCATTATCTACGTTAGGTATTTCTCCTAATGCTATCCCTTCCCTTGCCCCTCACCCCCAACAGGCCCCAGTGTGTGATGTTCCCCTCCCTGTGTCCATATGTTCTCATTGTTCAAATCCCACTTATGAGTGAGAACATGCAGTGTTGGGTTTTCTGTGTTAGTTTGCTGAGAATGATGGTTTCCAGCTTCATCCATGTCCCTGCAAAGGACATTAACTCATTCTTTTTTTATGGCTGCATAGAATTCCACGGTGTATATGTGCCACATTTTCTTTATCCAGTCTATCCTTGATGGGCATTTGGGTTGGTTCCAAGTCTTTGCTATTGTGAATAGTGCCACAATAAACATAAGTGTGCATGTGTCTTTATAGCAGAATAATTTATAATCCTTTGGGTATATACCCAGTAATGGGATTGCTGGGTCAAATGGTATTTCTGGTTCTAGATTCTTGAGGAATGGCCACACTGTTTTCCACAATGGTTGAACTAATTTACACTCCCGCCAACAGTGTAAAAGCGTTCTATTTCTCCACATCCTCTCCAGCATCTCTTGTTTCCTGACTTTTTAATGATAGCCATTCTAATTGGCATGAGATGGTAGCTCATTGTGGTTTTGATTTGCATTTCTCTAATGACCAGTGATGATGAGCTTCTTTTCATGTTTGTTGGTCGCATAAATGTCTTCTTTTGAGAAGTGTCTGTTCATATCCTTTGCCCACTTTTTGATGGGGTTCTTTTTTTTTCTTGTAAATATGTTTAAGTTCTTTGTAGATTCTGAATATTAGCCCTTTGTCAGATGGATACATTGCAAAAGTTTTCTCCCATTCTGTAGGTTGCCTGTTCACTCTGATGATAGTTTCTTTTGCTGTGCAGAAGCTCTTTAGTTTAATTAGATCCCATTTGTCAATTTTGGCTTTTGTTGCCATTGCTTTTGGTGTTTTAGACATGAAGTCCTTGCCCATGCCTATGTCCTGAATGGCATTGCCTAGGTTTTCTTCTAGGGTTTTTATGGTTTTAGTTCTTACATTTAGATCTTTAATCCATCTTGAGTTAATTTTTGTATAAGGTGTAAGGAAGGGGTCCAGTTTCAGTTTTCTGCGTATGACTAGCCAGCTTTCCAAACACCATTTATTAAATAGGGAATCCTTTCCCCATTGCTTGTTTTTGTCAGGTTTGTCAAAGATCAGATGGTTGTAGATGTGTAGTGTTATTTGGGAGGCCTTTGTTCTGTTCCATTGGTCTATATCTCTGTTTTGGTACCAGAACTAAGCTGTTTTGGTTACTGTAGCCTTGTAGTACAGTTTAAAGTTAGATAGCGTGATGCCTCCAGCTTTGTTCTTTTTGCTTAGGATTGTCTTGGCTATACGGGCTCTTTTTTGGTTCCATATGAAATTTAAAGTAGTTTTTTTCTAATTCTGTGAAGAAAGTCAATGGTAGCTCAATGGGAATAGCATTGAATCTATAAATTAATTTGGGCAGTATGGCCATTTTCACGATATTGATTCTTCCTATCCATGAGCATGGAATGTTTTTCCATTTGTTTGTGTCCTCTTTTATTTCCTTAAGCAGTGGTTTGTGGTTCTCCTTGAAGAGGTCCTTCATATCCCTTGTAAGTTGTATTCCTAGATATTTTATTCTCTTCATAGTAATTGTGAATGGGCGTTCACTCATGATTTGGCTCTCTGTCTATTATTGGTGTTTAGGAATGCTTGTGATTTTTGGATATTGATTTTGTATCCTGAGACTTTGCTGAAGTTGCTTATCAGCTTAAGGAGTTTTTGGGCTGAGACGATGGAGTTTTCTGAATATACAATCATGTCATCTGCAAATAGAGATAATTTGGCTTCCTCTCTTCCTATTTGAATACCTTTTATTTCTTGCTCTTGCCTGATTGCCCTGGCCAGAACTTCCAATACTATGTTAAATAGGAGTGGTGAGAGAGGGCATCCTTGTCTTGTGCTGGTTTTCAAAGGGAATGCTTCCAGCTTTTGCCCATTCAGTATGATCTTGGCTGTGGGTTTGTCATAAATAGCTCTTATTATTTTGAGATATGTTCCATCAGTACCTAGTTTATTGAGTGTTTTTAGCATGAAGGGGTGTTGAATTTTATCGAAGGCCTTTTCTGCATCTATTAAGATAATCATGTGTTTTTTGTCATTGGTTCTGTTTATGTGATGGATTACATTTATTGATTTGCATATGTTGAACCAGCCATCCCAGGGATGAAGCAGACTTGATCATGGTTTATAAGCTTTTTGATGTGCGCTGGATTCAGTTTGCCAGTATTTTATTGAGGATTTTCGCATCAATTTTCATCAGGGATATTGGCCTGAAAATTTTGTTGTTGTTGTTGTCTCTCTGCCAGGTTTTGGTAGCAGAATGATGCTGGCCTCATAAAAAGAGTTAGGGAGGAGTCCCTCTTTTTCTATTGCTTGGAATAATTTTAGAAGGAATGGTACCACCAGCTCCTCTTTGTACCTCTGGTAGAATTCAGCTGTGAATCCGTCTGGTCCTGGGATTTTTTTGGTTGGTAGGCTATTAATTACTGCCTCAATTTCAGAACTTGTTATTGGTCTATTCAGGAATTCGACTTTTTCCTGGTTTAGTCTTGGGAGGGTGTATGTGTCCAGGAATTTATCCATTTCTTCTAGATTTTCTAGTTTATTTGCATAGAGGTGTGTGTAGTATTCTCTGACGGTAGTTTGTATTTCTGTGCGATCAGTGGTGGTGTCCCCTTTTCCATTTTTATCGAGTCTGTCTGATTCTTCTCTCTTTTCTTCTATATTAGTCAGCTCAGATGATTTTTCCACCACAGCCCCCCAAGTAACTGGGAGAACAGGTGCAGGCCGGCATGCCCGGCTGATTTTTGTTTTTTGGATTTCTTTTTGGTAAAGACAGAGTTTTGCCATGTTACCCAGGCTGGTCTTGAGCTCCTGGGCTCAAGCAAGCTGCTTACCTCAGCCTCCCAAAGTGCTGAGATTACAGGTGTGAGCCACCACACCCAGCTCTAAAAAGTTTCTGCACAGCGAAGGAAAAAACAATCAACAGAATGAAGAGACAATCTACAGAATGAGAGAAAACACTGCAAATTACACATCTAATACAAAGTCAATATGTAAATATATAAGGAACTCAAACAACTCAATAGCAAGATAATAACCCAGTTTTTTAAATGGGCATAGGACCTGAATAGATATTTCCTAAAAGAAGTAATTTATATATATTCTGGATAGTAGGTTTTTATGAGATATGTGATTTGCAATTTCTTTCTCCCATTTTTTGGGTTGTCTTTTCACTTTATCTGTCTTTTTTTTTTTTTTTTTTGATGGAGTCTTGCTCTGTTGCCCAGGCTGGAGTGCAGTGGCACAATCTGGGCTCACTGCAACCTGTGCCTCCCAGGTTCAAACGATTCTCCTCCCTCAGCCTCCCGAGTAACTGGGATTACAGGCGCGTGCCACCACACCCAGCTAATTTTTGTATTTTTGGCAGAGATGGGGTTTCACCATGTTGGCCAGGCTGGTCTCGAACTCCTAACCTCAGGTGATCCACCCGCCTCAGCCTCTCAAAGTGCTGGGATTACAGGCTTGAGCCACCGCGCCCGGCCAGTATATTGTAATCTTAAAAATGCTAACATAATGGATGTATTCTCACCACAGAAGATAACTGTGAGATTATGCATATGTTAATTATCTAGGTTTAGTCACTCCACAGTGTATATATACTTTAGAACACAGCTGGTGGAATCTCCAAAAAAGCTACTGAAACTAATAAATGAATTCAGCAAGGTTGCAGGACACCAGATCAAGGTACTAGAGTCAATTTTATTCCTATGTATTAACAATGAATTGCAAATTAACATATTAATTATCCCCAAATTGATCTATAGATTTAATACAGTTCCAATTAAAATCCAGTAGGCTTTCTTAAATACAGAAATTGAAAAGCTGTTTCTAAAATTCACAACATGGCACATGTATACATACGTAACAAACCTGTACGTTGTGCACATGTACCCTAGAACTTAAAGTATAATAAAAATAAATAAATAAATAAAATAAAAAGAAAAGAAAATTAAAAGCAACTATGAGAGATTAGAGGCTTCTCGGGAAAAAAGAAAGAAAAAAAATGAAAATTAAAAGCACCTAGACTAGCCAAAGTCATTTTGAAAAAGATGAACAAAGTTAGAAGGGTAACGGTACCTAAATTCAGTACTTATCATAAAGCAATATAATCAGACTTGCATGGGACTGGCGTAATAGACAAATTGATTAATGGAAAAGAGAGTGCAGAAATAGACCCACATATACTTGCAGAACTAATTTTTGACAAATATTTGAAGGCAACTCATTAAACAAAGGAAACTCTGGCATTGTTTCTCTTCATACTGAAAAATTATTTAATATTTCTTGTAATGTAGATCTTCTGTTAGTGAATTATTTCAGCTTTTGTTCATTTAAAATATCTTTATTTCACCTTCATTTCTGATGGTATTTTCAATAGATGTGTAATTCTGATTGACAGATTTTTTTTTCTTTCAGAACTTCATGTTTCATTTTCTACGAGTTCTGTTATTTCTGATGAGAATGACACGGTCATTCCTACTGTTGTCTTCCTATATGTACTGCATCCTTTTCTTCTGACTTCTTTCAAGATATTCTATTTATTTTTTGTTTTTAGCAATTCCAGTTTAATGTGGCTAGGGGTGTATGTTCATACTGCTTGGAGTTTATTGAGCTTTTCGGATATATGGATTGTCATTTTCATCAAAATTAGAAAAAATTTGGCACCATTTTTTCAAATATTTTTCTGCCCCAATATAACATATCTCCTTCTAAGGATCTAATTACTTTTGCCTTAGAGTGCTTGATAGGTCCCGAAAGCTCTATTCTTTTTGTATTTCTCTGTGTGCTTTAAATTGGATAGTTTTTATTGACCTGCCTTCAGATTTGCTAATCCTTTCTTTGCACTATTCATTTTCCTAAGTCCATCCTGTGAAGTTTTAATTTCCGATATTGTATCAGTTAGTTCTAGAATTTCTAATTTTTCTTTTTCACACTTTCATTTTTGTGCTAAGTCCCCATCTGTTTACTATTTCCATGCTTTTCTTTAAATCCTTGAATAATTTCTAGTGATAGCTGGTCAAAAAACCTTAGCTGCCAATTTTATAATCTTTGTCATCTTTGGATTTGTTTCTATTAACCCTTTCTTTCTCTCTCTCTTTTTTTTTTTTTTTCGAGACAGAGTCTCACTCTGTTGCCCAGGTTGGAGTGCAGTGGCGCAATCTTGGCTCACTGCAACCTCTGTCTCCTGGGTTCAAGTGATTCTCCTGCCTCAACCTCCTGAGTAGCTAGGATTACAGGTGCACGCTACCACGTCTGGCCAATTTTTGCATTTTTAGTAGAGACCGGGTTTCACCATGTTGGTCCGGCTGGTCTCAAACTCCTGACCTTGTGATTCACCCACCTTGGCCTCCCAAAGTGCTGGGATTACAGGCGGGAGCCACTGTCCCCGGCCGCTTTTTCTCTTCATGGGCTTCTGCTACTTCCTATATGTGTAGCAATTTTTTATGGTATGTTGGACGTTGTTATGCTACCTTATTATCAGTCTAGATTATGTTGTTTTCCTTTAAAGAGTGTTTTTGGTTTACCTTTATGGCATCTCATATGAATGCTTGTCATTCAGCAAATTCGTTCTATTTGAGTTGTTTGAAATACAATTTTTTTCCAATGTTATGTGACCTCTGAAATCAATTCAGTTCGGTTTCCCAGTAGTTTTTCTCTCATTGGCCTCACAGAATATTTTCCTGAGCATTCCAGCTTAGTATTTGGCTGGAGTCAACAGAAGCACTATGCATCTTGCTCAGTTTCTTCTTTGCACAAGTCCTTCCTCTCTCTTACTCTGCCCCATAAATTCCAGCCACTGCAGCAGCTCTAAAGTCTAATCTCCATGTCCTTTACTCAATAAGGCCAATGCCTCCTGTCTCAGCCACAGTTTATTGTTTGGAAAGTTCTCCCAGGCAGAGAGCTGGGAGTAATATGGAGCTTATCACATGTGTTTCTCTTCTTTCAAAGTCACATTTCTGTAGTTTTACTCCATATATTTTCTACAGTATTACTGCTGCCTAAAACACAAAGCTGAATCCAACTCTTGTTTCTCTGTCATGGCTAGAACTGAAAATCCTCCATCCTATTTTTCCCCATGGCTGAATGTGAATGGATTGTTAAAGATTACCACACATTTGAGGAAAGCTTCTTATGTCAAGTCTAGAGACCAAAACTAACAGGCAAACAAACAAACAAGAGCTTGAATGAGGCAGAAACCACACATGGAAAGAAAGGCTTTAAAAATAAGCCTCTTATTAATATCCCCAGGGAGGTAGTGCATCCATGATTCAAGAACAGAATTTTATATTTTAATAAAAGAGTGAGACCAGGCGTGGTGACTCACACCTGTAATCCCAGCACTTTGGGAAGCCGATGCAGGCAGATCACGATGTCAGAAGTTTGAGACTAGCCTGGCTAACACGGTGAAACCCCATCTCTACTAAAAATACAAAAATTAGCCGGGCGTGGTGGTGCACGCCTGTAATTCCAGCTACTCGGGAGACTGAGGCACAAGAATCACTTGAAGCTGAGGTGGAGGTTGCAATGAGCTGAGACTGCACCACTGTACTCCAGCCTGGGTGACAGAGGAAGACTCTGTCTCTAAATAAGTAAATAAATAAATAAAAATAAAATAAAAGGGTGAGAAACGACAGAGAAAAAAACTGCTTTTAGAAAATAAAAACATGGGCCGGGTGCAGTGGCTCACGCCTGTAATCCCAGCACTTTGGGACGCCAAGTCGGGTGGATCACCTGAGGTCAGGAGTTCAAGACCAGCCTGGCCAACATGGTGAAACCCCCGTCTCTACTAAAAATACAAAAAATTAGCTGGGCGTGGTGGTGCACGCCTGTAATCCCAGCTGCTCAGGAGGCTGAGGCA
This sequence comes from Homo sapiens, assembly GCF_000001405.40. Taxonomy (NCBI): domain Eukaryota; kingdom Metazoa; phylum Chordata; class Mammalia; order Primates; family Hominidae; genus Homo; species Homo sapiens. The sequence continues at coordinate 180,452,774 of NC_000005.10, forward strand.
AGAGAATCACTTGAACCTGGGAGGCGGGGTTGCAGTGAGCCGAGATCACACCACTGCACTCCAGCCTGGGCAGCAAGAGTGAAACTCAGTCTCAAAAATAAATAAATAAATAAATAAATAAATAAATAAATAAATAAAATACAAAATTAGCTGGGTCTGGTGGCACACGCCTGTAGTCTCAGCTACTAGGGAGGCTGAGACAGGAGAACTGCTTGAACCCAGTGAGAGGTGAAGCCAGCTGGACTTCCTGGGTGGAGTGGGGACTTGGAGAACTTTTCTCTCTTACAAGAGTATTGTAAAATGCACCAATCAGCACTCTGTAGCTAGGATTGTAAAACTCACCAATCAGTGATCTGTAGCTAGCAAGAGGATTGTAAAATGCACCAATCAGTGCTCTGTAAAAACGCACAAATCAGTGCTCTGTAGCTAGCAAGAGGATTGTAAAATGCATCAATCAGTGCTCTGTAAAATGCACCAATCAGTGCTCTGTAAAATGCACCAATCAGCAGGATCCTAAAAGTAGTGAATTGCAGGGAGGATTGAAAAAAGGGCACTCTGATAGGACAAAAACGGAACATGGGCGGGGACAAATAAGGGAATAAAAGGTGGCCATCCCCCCAGCCAGGAGCAGCAACCCTTTGGGTCTCCTTCCAGTTATGGAAGCTTTGTTCTTTCACTCTTCACAATAAACCTTGCTACCGCTCACTCTTTGGGTCATGGCATCTTTAAGAGCTGTAACACTCACCTTGAAGGTCCACGGCTTCGTTCTTGAAGTCAGCCACACCAGGAACCCACCGGAAGGAACCAACTCCAGACATACCGGGCGACAGAGGCTGCAATGAGCTGAGATCGCGCCACTGCACTCCAGCTTAGGTGAGACAGAGCGAGACTCCATCTCAGAAAAGAAAAACATCACAAAAATATAAAGGTCAACAGACAGATGGAAAATATGAGGGGCACAAAAGATTTTAAAATTTCTAATCCAGTGCAAGAAGTCTAATATCTGAATAACAGGAGTTTCAGAGAAAACAGGAGCCAGAGATACCAAATAAATAGTCAAGAAGCTACCAGAAGCCTAAGCCTCGAGAATAAAAAAAAGCACTGCCCAGAACAAGTGCTCTGCACAACGGATGAAAACACACCAACACTAAAGCACATCACTAGGAAATGTTAGCTCATTGAATGAAAAGCACATATTTTATATGCTCCCAGATAGAAAGAAAAAAAACAGCTTCCATGAAAGAAAGATCAATCAGAATGCTTCAGATGTCTTCACAACAGCTCTGGAAGGAAGCAAGCATCTTCAGAATTATAGGGAAAAACAACACTCCCAACTTAGATGTGTATATCCTAGAAAGCCACCAATCATGTATAAGGGTAGATTAAAGACATTTGCAGACATACAGGTTCTCAAAATAATTATCTCCCATGCTTCTGGTTTCTAGAAGCTACTATGGAATGTGTTAATAACACAGTGGGGGGAAAAAACAGAAAAGAGGAGTCATAGAGTCCAAGAAAGAGAGGCTCTAGCTCAGGAGTGAGGCAAAGGAGAGGCCCTGGGGGATGGTGACAGGAGGCACCTGAGTGAAAGCTAGTACCAGGCACGAGGGCCACCCATCCAGACGAGCAAAGCAGGAGTCCTCAGAAGAGAGTTCCTCAATAAGTTAAATCTGCAAAGGCATCCAATGTGTTTTTATGCAATTGAAAGTAGATTTATCTCACCAGGGAAAAGTTTGGGGATAAAATTAGTGAAAAGTGGCCGGGTGCAGTGGCTCACACCTGTAATCCCAGCACTTTGTGAGGCTGAGGCAGTTGGATCTCCTGAGGTCAGGAGTTTCAGACCATCCTGGCCAATGGGATGAAACCCCGTCTCTATTAAAAATACAAAAATTAGCCAGGCGTGGTGGCAAGTGCTGGTAATCCCAGCTACTCAGAAGGCTGAGGCAGGAGAATCACTTGAACCCGGGAGGTGGAGGCTGCAGTGAGCCGAGATGGCACCACCTGCACTCCAGCCTGGGCAACAGAGTGAGACTCCATCTCAAAAAAAAAAAAAATAGTGATAAGTACATAGAGATATAGATGACAGTCACTGCCTCTAGTACAGACAAAAGCTGTTCTATGACATGGAAAGTAATTACAGTACCACATGGTTCAGCTGTGAATAGCATTTACATAGTCACAATGCCATTACTCTGGAATAGCAATCTAGCCAAAATGCCAGTAAAACTGCATATACTTGGGAAGATGAGGGATTAAAAATGGGTGGGGGGGTTAGGGACACAGCGGGAAGGAAAGAGCCTGATTTTCATCTTGGATTGTGGAAACACAATAAATGCAGCTTAAAATGGAACAACCAAGAAGCAGAATAGAAGCTGCTATTTAGAGATATGGAAGTTAATGCCTAAATAATGAAATAGAACAACAGGAAATGAAGAGACTGCTGTTCTTGGTATAATTCTTCAACATTTTGTTTTAATTTTTAAGGATTACTTCCAACGGGTAGGTTGTAAAAAGTGACAGTCTTGGGCCAATGATGTACCCTTTTTATTTTGTTTGTGTTGTTGTTGTTATTGTTTTGAGACGGAGTCTCGCTCTGTCGCCCAGGCCAGAGTGCAGTGGTGCGATCTCGGCTCACTGCAAGTTCCGCCTCCCGGGTTCACGCCATTCTCCTGCCTCAGCCTCCCGTGTAGCTGGGACTACAGGCACCCGCCACCTCGCCCGGCTAATTTTTTGTATTTTTAGTAGAGACGGGGTTTCACCGTGTTAGCCAGGATGGTCTCGATCTCCTGACCTCGTGATCCGCCCGCCTCGGCCTCCCAAAGTGCTGGAATTACAGGTGTGAGCCACTGCTCCCGGCATTTTTGTTTGCTTTTAGAGACAGGGTGTCACTCTGTCCCCTAGATCAGAGTGCAGTGTTGGAATCACAGCTCACTGCACTCTCAATCTCCTGGGCTCAAGCAATCCTCCTGCCTCAGCCTCCCAAGTACCTGGGGCTACAGGCGCACGTCACCATACCTGGCTAATGTTTTGTATTTTTTTGTAGAGACAGGGTCTCACTGAGGCAGGAGAATAGGGTCTGGAGGCAGAGAACCTAAGGCCAATTTGCTCTGACTTCCTAGAATTGAATCAAAATGAAAACCCCAACTTTCCACACCCAAGTAACAAAAGGATCAGAGGCCACTCCCTTTGCAACTTCCCCCACCTTTCTGGGAGGCAGAAGAAAAATGCAAAGTACCTCTGATTGATCCCCTTCTGCAACCAATCAGACTGGTCATGGGCCTAGTCTTCAATTGCATAGGGGTATAACTTTGTAACTTCAGCCTCTGATTGGTTCCCTCCTGCAACCAATCAGACGTTTGCACAAGGTGTAACTTTGTAACTTCACTTCAGCCTAGGTTGCCTTCTGCAACCAGTCAGACTGGTCAGGGGCCACTCCTTCATTTACATAGGGTATAACCAAGTAACCAATGGGAAACCTCTAGAGGGTATTTAAACCCCGGAAAATTCTGTAACCAGGGACTCTTGAGCTGCTTACTGAAACCCACTCCCACTCTGTGGCGTGTACTTTCGTTTCAATAAATCTATGCTTTCATTCAATAAATCTGTGCTTCATTCTTTCATTGCTTCATTTGTGCATTTTTTCCAATGTTTTGTTGAAAACACCAAGAAACTGGACAACTCATAGTCAAGACCCTCCACCGGTAACATCACTATGTTGCCCAAGCTGGTCTTGAGCTCCCAGCCTGAAGCAATCCTCCAGTATTGGCCTCCTAAAGTGTTGGGCTTACAGATGTGAGTCACTGTACCTGGCTGGTGCACTGTTTTAAAAGTTTTTGCCACATTTTAACATATTCTCCTTTAAAGAGTTGTATCAGCTCCATTCCATGGGCAATCTGCTCTAATTTGGACTTCCATCCTACTTCCTGACTGTTAAGTTAGGCTCTAGCCAGGCACTAAGCATCTCTGATACAAAGGCATGACATCTGACTGAGGGTTGCAGGGCCCCAGGGAAGAGAGGGGGCCCTTTCAGAGGCTACCGGGGTAGGTTTCTTGGGGAAGGTGACATTAAACTAGAGCTTAAAGAAGGAAGAGTTTTACATATGGGGAGGGAAGGGAAGGACTTTCTGGTAGGAAGTGAGAGAAAACTGTTCTGTGGTTTTGTTTGTTTTTGTTTTGAAATAGAGACAAGGTCTCACCTGTTGCCCAGGCCAGAATGCAGTGGCATGATCGTAGCTCACTGTAACCTTGAACCCCTGGGTTCAAGCAATCCTCCCACCTCATCCTCCCCAGTAGATGGGACTGCAGGCACATGTCATGATGCCCCACTCAGTTCGTGTGTGTGTGTGTGTGTGTGTGTGTGTTTGGTTTTAGCTTTGTGATGGTCAATCAGATCAACAGCAACAGCAACAGATCAACAGCAACAAAATTAGACACAGGAGAGACACAAGAAAAGAAAGCTGATTGAGGCTGGGTGTGGTGGCTCACGCCTGAAATCCCAGCACTTTGGGAGGTGGAGGCAGGCGGATCACCTGAGGTCAGGAGTTCAAGACCAGCCTGACCAACATGGTGAAACCTCGTCTCTACTAAAAATACAAAAATTAGCTGGGCGCAGTGGCACTCGCCTGTAATCCCAGTTACTCGGGAGGCTGAGACAAGAGAATTGCTTAAACCCAAGAGGCGGAGGTTGTAGTGAGCCGACATCACACAATTGCACTCCAGCCTGGGCAACAGAGTGAGACTCTGTGTCAGAAAAAAAGAAAGAAAGAAAAGAAAGCTGATTGTGCTCACGGATGCTACAGACACAGGAGGCACGGAACATGCTGCAGGACCATGTGACTACCATGTTTTGGTCGGGACACAGAAAAGAGGGGCAAGGCAAAGTCCAGGCCACAGCCTTTATTGGGAGAGGCCACGCAGGGAGATGTGAAGAGTTTAGGGCTGGCTAGTTGGGCTCCAAACTATAGTGTGGGGGTCCCTAGGTGCCCAGCCTGACCCTGGAATGATGAAGGCAGAGGAATGTTGCCTCGCGTGTGTACGGGCCTGAGGGAGGAGGCCTGGCTGTGGATGGTTAGTTTATATATCGAAGGCGTGCTCCAGATATGCTATCTCTAGAAATTGGCCAGTTAGAGGGCAGTTCTCCTTCTCCCCAGCCAGAAAGGTCTTTTTAAAGATGTCAAAACATTATACTATACAGAAAATGAAAAATACAAACAACTCAAAAGCCAACTCCAATTGGCTATAGGACACACAGGAAGGACAGGGGCAAGTGGCCTTGGGGGACAATGGGAACCAGGGCCAGGGCCACCAGAACCCCCTCTTCCCCTCCTCTCCATCTCTTTCCAATCGTATGTTGGTTTCATTCACTCAGGCCGGCCTTCCCCTGGCTGAAGACAGGGCAGGCTCCTCCAGTGGACCAGTGGGGGAAGGAGCTTCTCCCCACTCCAGCTGGAAAGAATACCCAGTGCCTGGCTCAGGGGGATGTCCCCTTGCCCCTGCAGGTCAACCCCTGTGACGAGGGCTGGACACACCCACTGGACCAGCAGGCATCAAGGGCCTAATTTGGTGGCAGGTGGGCAGTGCCTCACAAGGGAATAGCTGAGTATGGTCCCAACTGGGGCCTGAAAAGTCACATTTAGGCAGGCTGAAATTTTTGACCAGGCATGGTAGTGAAACTGACCCAATTGTCCCAAAGATAGTTGTTTGGACAAACATAGAAATTGACCCTTTTGAACCTTACACTTGTTTTATCTGAGTTCCTTCCTTGGGAAACACCTTCAGGCCTCTCAAAAAAAAGTATCCAAGAACTGAAACTCACCAGATCATGACATCCAGACAATGAGACTCCAGGCCCCTCATCCATCAGGATTGCTCCCTTACCCTCTCAAGTTCCTGTTTTCTTACACATTGTTACATTTCATCCCAGTTCCTATTTTCTTGAACATTGTTACATTTCTTCCTAATATACAGACCCCTAGTTTTAGTAGGTCAGAGATGGAGTTGAGAGTGAGCTCCCATCTCTCTGGCTGCAGCGCCCGATTAAAGCTTTCTTCCTTGGCAATACTCGTCCCAGTCGTTGGCTCTCTGTGCGGTGAGCAGTGGGTCCCAGAGTGAACCGCTGGTGTTCTGCTAACAGTGGCTCACACCTGTAATCTCAGCACTTTGGGAGGCTGATGTGGGAGGATTGCTTGAGCCCAGCAGTTTGAGCCTGCAGGAAGCTATTGAGAGGTGACAGCGTGCTGGCAGCCCTCGCAGCCCTCGCTCGCTCTCGGCGCCTCCTCGGTCTCGGTGCCCACTCTGGCTGTGCTTGAGGAGCCCTTCAGCCCGCCGCTGCACTGTGGGAGCCCCTCTCTGGGCCGGCCGAGGCCGGACGGCTCCCTCAGCTTGCGGGGAGGTGTGGAGGGAGAGGCGCGGGCAGGAACCGGGGCTGCGTGCGGCGCTTGCGGGCCAGCAGAAGTTCTGGGTGGGCGCGGGCTGGGTGGGCCCCACACTTGGAGCCGGCCGGCGCCACCGGCCCCGGGCAGTGAGGGGCTTAGCACCCGGGCCAGCAGCTGCGGAGGGTGCACCGGGTCCCCCAGCAGTGCCGGCCTGCTGGTGCTGTGCTCGAATTCTCGTCGGGCCTCAGCTGCCTCCCCGCGGGGCAGGGCTCGGGACCTGCAGCCCGCCGTGCCTGAGCACACCCCACCCCCACTCCCGTGGGCTCCTGCTCGGCCCGAGCCTCCCTGACGAGCGCCACCCCGTGCTCCATGGGGCGCGGTCCCATCGACCGCCCAAGAGCTGAGGAGTGTGGGCACACAGCGCGGGACTGGCCGGCAGCTCCACCTGCGGCCCCTGTGCAAGATCCACTAGGTCGGCAGCTTCACTCCCGAGCCGGCGAGACCATGAACCATCAGAAGGAACAAACTCCGGACACACTGCTTTTAAGAACCGTAACACTCACCTCGAGGGCCACCAGCTTCCTTCTTGAAGTCAGTGAGACCAAGAACCCACCAATTCCGGACACACGATGATCACTGCACTCCAGCCTGGGTGACACAGCAAGATCCCATCTCGACAACAACAAAAATGTTCATTAGTTTGAGCATTCAGCGATTTGTGAATCAGGCAGCACCAGACCATAAGCGGCAGCACTCCACCTGGGGGCTCAGGGGAAAACTTTATTAAGGTGTTGGCCAAAACAAGACAAAGGAGATATTTGAGCTGGGTGCCGTGGCTCATGCCTGTAAATTCCAGCACTTTGGGAGGCCGAGGCGGGCGGATCACAAGGTCAGGAGATCGAGACCGTCCTGGCTGACATGGTGAAACCCTGTCTCTACTAAAAATACAAAAAATCAGCTGGGTGTGGTGGTGGGCACCTGTAGTCCCAGCTACTCGGGAGGCTGAGGCAGGAGAATGGCGTGAACCCGGGAGGCGGAGCTTGCAGTGAGCCGAGATCGCGCCACCTCACTCCAGCCTGGGCGACAGAGTGAGACTCCGTCTCAAAACAACAACAACAACAAAAGAAGAAGATATTTGATTGGTCAAACTGGAAAGTCCCCAGTGAGAGTTGCGGTGGTGGCTCCTGACGGGTTAAGCTTTGGCTTTGCTCTCCCAGGCTGTGACCGTTCACCCTGAGCTTCTGAGGTAGGTTTCCATTTGCTCACATGAGAACTCAAGGTTCCGGAGCATCTCACCCTAAACAGCCTCCCAGTTAGCCATGTTTTAACCACGTGTGTACTCGAATCTAAGCCCTACCAGCACCTATTCTTGGCCTCCACTAGAATATAAGCTCCATAGGGCAGAGCGTCTGGATTGGTCACTGCTGTACTCAGAGTGCCTAGAACAGCACCTGGTGTATGGGAGGTGATCACAACACTCAGATCATGTGGCTACCATGGTGGGAAGGACAGACTGTTCTCCAAAGAAACAGGAATGACACAGATGTAGTGCTGGGTGTCATGGAGGAAAGGAGGCACTCTAGGTGGTGTCTCCTGTGGCTGGGGTCCTGAGCTGTAGGGCCATCATGGGACTTCAAGTCCCAACCCCCCATTGGGAAGCTCTTTCCCCTTTCTCCACCCTGCCCTGGACAGAAGCTAGTAGGGCCCTGGGGAAGACATGTGGTCAGTAAAGAGAAGCATGCTCTGCCTATGGGAGGCCAAGCTGGCCCCCAGCAGGAGTCGGTGGTGAAGCACAAGGACTTCCAGCTCCATGCTGTGTCTCAGGCCTTCCTCTCTCATGGGCGGGGAGCCGGTGCTTGTGACCTGATTGGGGAAGAGATCATAGCAGGAAGACAACATTCCCTTAGGACTCAGAGCGGCCAAGACGGAGAATCCTGGGGTGAGGCGGGCGAGCCCTGAGCACCTGGGGGAGCAGATGCCACTTGGGGCTGCAGAGCGTGGGTGGCACCCAAAGCAGACGAGTGACATTGTTCTCCGCCCTCTGTCCCTCATGCTCCTGGCAGTGAGCTGGGTTTTCACCTCTGCTCCTTGGGTGAGGGGCGGAGGGGATCAGTCCTCCCTGACCCATCCTCACAAGGTCAGTCCCTTGGTGACGTGGCTTTTGTCCCTTATTCGTAGAGATGTCCCACACACGCACTGCTGCCCACCCAGGCTGGAGAGAGGCCGTGGGGCTCAGCCATCTGTTCCCCAGACTCATAGGGCCTCAGGGTCAGACCTACAGAGGAAGGAATTGCTCCGAATGTAAACGGCTCCCAGGACAGTGATTCTCAGAGGGACCCTAAGCTCGCCAGCAGAGAACGGCACCCCAGTGGTGCCCAGGCCTCAATAGCACCCGAGTGCCAAGGGAGCTTCTGGAAGTCCCAGGTTCCTGGGCCTGGGAATGTGCATCCCCAGCCACCCCCTCCTGCTTTGGGAGAGTGGGATCACGTTTTTCCAGGCCCCACTTCATGGGGAGCCACAGCCACACTGCAGGAGCCACATAGCTCCTGCTGCCCCCTTGGTGGTTCACCAAGCTCCTGGGCTCCCCAGGCCAGGTGCGGGGTGGGAGCCTGCTCAGCCCCGGAGGCTGGCATATCCTGACAGCAGCTTCTTCCCAGGAGCCCAACCATGAGTGCCTGTGGAAATGAAGGATGCTCCAGGTGAGGCTAGGTCTCCTCAAGGAGGGAGAGTGTGGTCAGCTGAATGATGGCCCCAAAGACATCCAGTCCTAATCCCTGCAGCACACAACCGTTGCCTTCTGTGGCATGAAGGAGCTCTGCAGGTGTGATTAAGGTAAGGATTCTTTTTTTTTGAGACGGAGTCTTGCTCTGTCGCCCAGGCTGGGATGCAGTGGTGCAATCTCGGCTCACTGCAAGCTCCTCCTCCTCCCAAGTTCAAGCAATTGTTCTGCCTCAGCCTCCCAAGTAGCTGGGACTACAGGTGCCCACCACCATGCCCAGCTAATATTTGTATTTTTAGTAGAGACAGGGTTTCACCATGTTGGCCAGGAAGGTCTTGATCTCCTGACCTCATGATCCACCTGCCTCGGCCTCCCAAAGTGCTGGGTTTATAAGGCATGAGCCACCGCACCTGGCCTTGAGATGGAGTTTTGCTCTTGTCACCCAGGCTGGAGTTCAGTGGCATGATCTCGGCTCACTGCAACCTCCACCTCCTGGGTTCAAGTGATTCTCCTGCCTCAGCCTCCCAAGTAGCTGGGATTACAGGCACCTGCCAGCACACCCGGCTAATTTTTTGTATTTTTAGTAGAGACCAGGTTTCATCATGTTGAATAGGCTGGTCTCAAACTCCTGACCTCAGGTGATCCGCCCAACTTGGCCTCCCAAAGTGCTAGGATTACAGGCATGAGCCACCACGCCCAGCCAGGATTTTCTTTTTTCTTTTTGAGATGGAGTCTCGCTCTGTCGCCCAGGCTGGAGTGCAGTGGCACGATCTCGGCTCACTGCAAGCTCCGCCTCCCGGGTTCACACCATTCTCCTGCCTCAGCCTCCCGAGTAGCTGGGATTACAGGCACCCGCCACCATGCCCTGCTAAATTTTTTTTTTGTATTTTTAGTAGAGATGGGGTTTCACCTTGTTAGCCAGGATGGTCTCAATCTCCTGACCTCGTGATCCACCCGCCTCAGCCTCCCAAAGTGCTGGGATTACAGGCCCTGGCCAGGATTTTTTTTGAGATGGAGTCTCACTTCCTTGCCCAGGATGGAGTGCACTAGCACAATCTCGGCTCACTGCAAACTGCCTCCTGGGTTCAAGGGATTGTCCTGCTTCAGCCTCCCGAGCAACTGGGATTACAGGCATGCACCACAACTGGCTAATTTTTGTATTTTTTATTAAAGAGGGGGTTTCACCATGTTGGCCAGGCTGATCTCAAACTTCTGGCCTCAAGTGATCCACCCATCTCGGCCTCCCAAAATGCTGGGATTACAGGTGTGAGCCACTGCACCTGGCGAAGCTAAGGATCTTGGGATGGAAAGGTTGTCCTGGGTTAGCCAGGTGGGCCCTAAATGTAATCACAAGTGTCCTTACAAGAGAGAGGAAAAGAGACTACACACAGAAGAGAAGGTGGAAGAGAGATTACACACAGACGAGAATGCGACGTGACCAGGGAGGCAGAGACTGGAGGTTGTGGCCACAAGCCAAGGAATGCTGGCAGCCCTTAGGAGCTGGCAGAGGCCAGGAGCAGCTTCTCCTCTGGAGCCTCCAGAGGGAACCAGCCCCGCTGACACCTTGACTTTACCCCGTACAACTGACTTTAGACTTGTGGCCTCCAGAACTGTAGAGAATAAACTTGTGTTAGCCACCAGGTTTGTGGTAACTTGTTGCATCAGCCATGGGGCATCTCCTCCTCCTGGAAGCTGCAGCCTGGTGGAGAGGTCTAGCAGGGTCTGTGGGAGTCATCTGGGGTTCCAGTGCAAAGTCAGCAGCCCTGAAAGCTGCTCTTCTCTCTCTGCATGGGTTGCAGCCGCGTCTGCTCAGTGTGGTTTCAGTTCTCTGACAAACCAGGGCTTCCCAGCCTGCCCCAGAGCAGGCCTTGCGTGCTGATACAGCTGGGACCCCCTCTGCAGCCCAGGCCAGCCTGAGGGATTACTGAGAAGTCCAGGTGAGCTGGAGATGTGAGGTGGGGCTCACAGCTGGTGCCCAGCTTCCTCCAGCTCCAGCTCCTCCCACCCAGGCCCATCCTGCTGCTGCATCTTTCAGGGTCTCCACATCTGTCCCTAGACAGACCCTGTCCTTTCTGCAGCAGAGCGGGTAGAAATGGACCCTCATCGTGGGGTGGTCAGCCCCAGCACAGCCTGGGCAGGATGCTGGGCACCTGGTGTGAGGACCAGGCCTGCCTCCCGTTATCCTTGTGGGCTCTGGAGGGCAAGGTCAGAACTGGGTCTAACCCAGGTCCCACGCCCCCCACCTCACAGGGGTGAGCACAGGTCTGAGGTTTGTTGAACGAACAGCTCCTGCAGCCCCTGAGAAAGCTGGCTTCCTCTGGAAAGTATCAGGGCCATCTTCCCAGTCCCCCTCCTGTCTCCGGCCCACCCCCAGCTACAAATCCCAGCATTGGGTGGGAGGTGGAGGCTCTGGGATCTTGACTCTGGAAGACTCCCTGGCCCTTCCCAGCACCTGTCTTCTGGGCCTCAGCTCCCATCAACAACGTGGTCTTGGCTCAGGCCCCTGACTCTCCCTGCCCCCGCCCCACGCACCTCCAAGGCCACCCTCTGTCCACCCTGCCTCCACCTGGAGCCCCCCTGTGGCCGCCTGCTGCTGCACTCCATCAAGACATCACGCTCCGGCCTCAGACTGCTGGGCTCTGAGCCTCGCTGGACTCTTCTTGGAGGGGATGGAAACCCAGTGAAGATGGGATCTGGGATAAAGGACCATATGTGTAGATGCTGGGCATCCCTGGCCAGGGTCCCGTCCCCGACCCCAGGCCTGTGCCTCCCCCACTCCCCAACCTCCCCCAGTCAGCTGCAGTTCGTGTTGCCTTCACCCTCACAGGCTCCAGCACTTCTGACTTCCACACACCCAGCTCAATAAACCCAAAGTAAACATTCCCTCCAAAAGTCCCTGAATGGTGTCTGTCATCCTGGGTTGAACTCGTGCCCATCTCAGCAGCAGGAATTTTGACAGGGAAAGGAATGCTATGGGTCAGCCTTCAGGCCTTGGCCCCAGGCCTGTTGCAGGGCACAGAAGGGGCCATCTGGCTGGAACCCCATCTACTGAGAGAGGGACAGGAACGAGCCCTAAGGGAGCCACCATAAGAGGGAGTGGATACTCACCAAAGATGCCTATATCTGCTGCGTCTCCTGCAGGTGCCCCTAGCGAGAGGTGAAGCCAGCTGGACTTCCTGGGTCCAGTGGGGACTTGGAGAACTTTTCTGTCTTACGAGAGGATTGTAAAATGCACCAATCAGCACTCTGTAGCTAGGATTGTAAAATGCACCAATCAATGCTCTGTGGCTAGCCAGAGGTTTGTAAATGTGCCAATCAGTGCTCTGTAAAAATGCACCAATCCGTGCTTTGTGGCTAGCTGGAGGTTTGTAAAATGGACCAATCAGCAGTCTGTAAAATGGACCAATCAGTGCTCTGTAAAATGGACCAATCAGCAGGATGTGGGCAAGGACAAATAAAGGAATAAAAAAAGCTGGCCACCCACCCCACCCCTGGCCAGTAGTAGCAACTCCCTAGGGTCCTGTTCCACGGTGTGGAAGTTTCGTTGATTCCCTCTTCACAGTAAATCTTGCTGTTGCTCACTCTTTGGGTCTGTACCACCTTTGAGAGCTGTTAACACTCACCGTGAAGGGCTGCGGCTTCATTCTTGAAGTCAACGAGACCAGGAACCCACCGGAAGGAAGAAACTCCGGACACACCACCTTTAAGAGCTGTAACACTCACTGTGAAGGTCCGCAGCTTCATTCTTAAAGTCAGCGAGACTACAAACCCACCGGAAGGGACAAACTCCAGACACACTAGGTGCACCCCACCTCCCTGCTACTGACAGGATGCTCGCCCTGGCACTGGTGCTCCTGGCCACTGAGGGTGACGTGTGGTCCTCTCCGCCTTATGTAGCCTGCTGGCCGGCATCTGCCTCAGCCCCAGCATGATGGCCTCGGCCCTTTGTAGGAACCAGACTGATTCCTGCCAGGAAACCCCTTTCACCTTCCCCACCCAGAAATGACAGGGACAGACACCAGGGGAGTGAAGATACGTCTGCCACATAACACCCTGGAGAACCATGTGTCAGCCTCTGTAACCTCAGTTTCCTCATCTGCAAAATGACCTGCCTGGGCTCGGGGGAGGCTAAAAGGCCCTGTCCAAACGTGAGCTGGCCCACAGTCCTTCAGGCAGTTGTGGCACATGGCTGAGTTAAGAGAAGGTGCCTTGGATTGGGCTGTGTCCCCAGTTCAGTAGCTCCAGGCTGGACTTGTCCATGCTAACCAGATGGCCACCTGGTAACTTTCAGCGAAGTTCACCCCTCCAGGAAAGCCACCAGCACAGGGGACTCTGGGGCCTGTGGCTTGGGGCTCCGGCGTTGGGGGAGACCTGGCCAAAAGTGGCTCAGCCTAGGAGCTGCAGGTCTGGCAGGCACAGCACCTTCCCCCACAGCTACTGGCACCCTCTCACCAGATAACACCCGTTGAGAGCCCTGTGGCTGCGGACAGGCCTGCTCAAAGATGCCATTATGCAGAGTCCTCTCTGCCTTGCCTCTTTTTCCGGGCAGGGTGGCGGTGCAGCATTTTCCATGGCTGCCCAATACTCGGCTCAAGCTTCTGCATTCTGAGCTTCAGGCCTAACGCGCTTCCAAGGTTCCCAAACCTGTCCCTCAGCCACGCGCGGGCGCGGTGTGGTTGCTCCCAGGTATGCCTGCCTGACCCTGTCCAGAAAACGAGTGGTCTAGCACTCAGCCAGGCTTCCATTCTGTGTACGGGGAGCAGAGGAGGGGCTCACGGCAGCCCCCAAACACTGGGCACTTGGTCAGAAACAAAGGGGAGACCCTACACCCCACAAAGCATGAATCTGTAAAAGAAGTTTGAGGCCAGGCGCCGTGGCACACATCTGTAATCTCAACACTTTGGGAGGCCAAGGCGGGTGAATCCTTTGAGGCCAGGAGTCCAAGACCAGCCTGGCCAATATGGCGAAACCCCGTCTCTACTAAAAATATGAAATTAGCTGGGTGTAGTGGAGTGCATCTGTATTCCCAGCTACTCGGGAGGCTGAGGTGGGAGGATGGTTTGAGCCTGTGAGGCAGAGGTTGCAGTGAGCTGAGATTGTGCCACTGCACTCCAGCCTGGGTGACAAGAGCAAGATTCTGTCTCAAAAATAAAATTTTAAAAGTTCTGCAATTCTGCATAAAGATAAATGCTATTTGTTCCTGGGGGCTGGGGTCACCAGGGAGGCTTCCTGGAGGAGGAGGCAGGGCTGAGGAATGGATGGCAGCAGAGAGTATTTGTGGGTGAGGCTATGGTGCTGCTGGAGAGGCAGGGTGTGGCAGCTTGGGCTGGGGCCAGCAGTGAGCTTGGAATTCCCCAGGGCTTTCCAGAAGCCAGAAGGCCGGGGCGGAGTGGGTTGTCCAAGAGCTTGTCTTGTCCTCTTGCCCTGGCCACAGCCGGGAAGCCCTGGGCAGGCGCCCGTGGATAGCTGGCACGCTCAGCCTTTGGTGGAGAACTGAGGTGAGCTGGAAGGACTAATGGGAGGGAGGAGAGGTGTACTGGGGCCCCGGGGCAAGGCCCTGCTTTGCACTCAAGATAAGAATCCAGGGCTCTAAGGGGAGGTGGTGAGGGAGGGAGCCGCCCGTCCCGCCGTATTCAAGGAGAAAGACACATCTGGGGTCAAATTAGAGAGCTGGTGGGGACTGTTTTCTGGTGCTGAGTCAGCTCCAGGAGGTCCCCTCTTCCCCACTGGTCCAGAAAGTCTGAAGCAGGAAGGTGGAAAAACATTTCGTGCTCAGGGAGGAAACGTCTTCACCCCGGTTTACAGGTGAGGAAATGGGCTCAGAGCGTGGCTAAAGTCCCCCAAGGGCCAGGCAGGCAGGGCAGGTCGGGGTGCCCAGGGTTGCTGCCGCTGATTCTGGCCTGGGTGGAGGAGGGGCTGACGGCCTGTGCTGGGACAGGGACAATTGTGATTATTAGCCTGGAGGAAGGGGGGCTTGAAAGTCAGGAAGGCCACGGGAGTCGGGACAGAGAAGCTGCCGTGGCTTAAAAGTGTCCCCTAGAGTTCCTGCACTGGCAGCCTAGTCCCCAGTGCAATAGCACGGAGAGGTGGGACCTTTAAGAGGTGATGAGGTCACAAGGGCTGGGCCCTCCTGAGCCCATCAATGCTATCATCATGGGAGTGGGTTTGTTATCAAAGCGAGTTCGGTCCCTTCTTGGTCTGTCTCTGGAGCACACACACCCCGTCCTTCCACTTACTGCCACAGGATGACACGTCAGCAGGGCCCTCACCAGATGCTGGCCCCTTGATCTCAGACTTCCCGGCCTCCTGCGCTGCCAGCCTAATACACTTCTCTTCGTTGTAAATTACTCAGTCTGTGATATTCTGTGATAGCAACAGAAAACAGACGAAGACGCAGGCCAAGGTGAGCTCAGATGGGAATGGGGCCTGGTGTGAGTCAGGATGTGGACTGGCCCAGGGCACAGAGGTCAGGAGCAGGACATTGGGGCCAGAGCTCAGGGTTACCTGGACTCTGTCAGAGGCCTCTGGTTGGATCCAGCCTCACCACCCTGGTGTTTGAGGCCCTCTGCACTTCCATCCAGCTCCGGGCAGCCAGGTTGGTCTCTTTCATCTCCTGTGCACACACTTCAGTCTCATCTCTCACCCTTGACCCTGCCCAAAATAGTCTGTACTTACGAAGAGTCTGCCCCTCTTTCCAGCTTTATCTCAGGAAGGACCTTCAGGAAGCTTTTCCCAACCACTTCAGCCCCAGGGTCCTGAGATTTCTCTGGATTCCGGAACGCGCTGGCCGGTCACTCAACACCAGAGTGAATACACGTGTCTGTCTGGTCCCGCCGTCCTCACTGCAGGAAGCTGATAGTTGTGGGGAGAGATGGACAATAACCAGGGCGATGAGCAGATGCATTGCTGCAGCGTGGGTCCCTGGTGGGGGAATGGTGCTGAGAACGGGAATGACGCGCAAGGCCTCCCTGAGGTGGGGAGGTAGGGAAGGAGCCCACTACGGAGATCTGGGGGCACACGGGAAGTCCTGGGGCTGAAAAGAGCCGGCCTGGCTGGAGGCAGAAGGCCACGGGGGAGGCTGGTGCTGGTGCCACGGGGAGACACCCAGGCAGAGCTGGAGAGGTTGTGGCAGCAACACCGTCCTGGTGACAAGCCACCAGAGATGCCCACACGGAAGCATGTGGGAATGATTTGCATTTTGGGACAGTCCCTCTGACTGCGGTGGCTGGAGTAGATTGTAGAGGTCAGTGCTGGATCCTGGGACAGCCCTTTGTGTCGTCTGATTCAAGGTGATGTTCTTGGACCAGGGTGGTGGCAGTGGGAATGAAGAGAAGTGGATGGATTTGGGGTGCAGAATCAGTGAGGCTTGGGGATAAGGGGGACTGCTCAGGCTTCTGGCAGAAGCGAGCAGGTGTGGTGTGCAGTTCCCTGGGTTGGGGGGCGGGGGTTCCCAGCAGCAACCTGGGCTGCGGGAAGGTCGTGAGTGCTCCCGGGGACTGCAAGCCAGTGAAGGACTGCGTGGAGGCATCAGGTGGACAAGTTGTCACAAAGGCCAGGCAACTCTGAGGAAGGCCCTGGGCAGACAACACAAACCATGGAGTCAGAGGAGCTGAGCCCAAATCCACTCCGTCCATATCACGGCCATCTGGGCACTGTCAGTGCCACCCCACTTCCCAGAGAGATGTCATCTGCACTCAGGACTCCAGCCATCACAGGTGTGCCCCCAGCTCCCACTCCTGCACCTCCTGCAAGACCCTGCCCTCCCCTAGCTTCAGGCACATGCCCAGCTCCTCCCCAACACTGCACCTGGTAACCTCAGGCTCCCTCCAACTCTGGAGACTCCAGTGGAACTCAGATACCCCCCTCCCCACCGCCCCTGGCTTTCTCCTGCTCCTCCTCCTTCTCCATCCTCTACCATGGGTGATGTCATTGCTGCCCACTCATAACAGCGAGCATCTTAGTTGGTACTCTAGACCAGGGCTTTGCACACTCTAGACCAGGGCTTTGCACACACTAGACCAGGGCTTTGCACACTGTAGACCAGGGCTTTTGCACACTTCAAGGCATGCGTAAATCACCTGGAGGTCTTATTAAAATGCAGGTTCTCATTCAGCAAGCCTGGTAGGCCTAAGATTCTGGATTTCTTTCTCCTTTCTTCTCTATTTTTTTCCTTCTTTCCTTCCTTCCTTCCTTCCTTGCTTCCTTCCTCCCTCCCTCCCTTCTTCCTTTTTCCTTCTTCCTCCCTCCCTTTCTTTCTTTCTTTTCCTCTTTCTTTTCTATTTCTTTCTTTCTTTCTCCTCCCTCTCTCCCTCCTTTCTTTTCTTTTGGAGACAGGGTTTCACTATGTTACCCAGGCTGAACACAAACTCCTGGGATCAAGTGATCCTCCTGCTTCAGCCTCCTAAGTAGTTGGGGCTACAGACTGGATTTTGCATTTCTAAGAAACCCAGCTACTGCTGCTGCTGGCCCTTAACCACAGTTGCAGGGATGAGGCGTTTCTAGACCTGTCCCTCTCCTCCCCACCCCACACATCCTGGAAGCTTCTTGGGTCTTCCTCTCTTCCCTTCCTTCTACCACCTGAGCTCAGGTCCCGTCATCTCTGACCTGGATGGACTATGGCACCTCCTGGCACGCCTTCCTTTGCTTTAAGCTGCTGAGGGCTGTTCCGCGGTAGGCGTCACTTATCCAGTGGCGTTTCCCTGCAGCCTGCAGGGTCCAAGCCTCTCCTCAGCGCAGATGCTGTGCATGGATGGGGCGGGAGGATGTTCACAGAAGCGCCATGGAGGGACAGCCAAGATCAAAGCCAGGAAGTGGGCTCCATCAGGGGCTGTCCTATCAATCCCGGGGGCTCATTCACCCATGGAGGTCCCGTGCCAAAGCCAGGGAGAGCCAAGGGCAAGAACCCATTACTCCAGAGAGCACCCTTGCTTGGTGCTCTAGATAGCCGGTCTTAAGAGGCTGGGCACGGTGGTTCATGCTGGTAATCCCAGCACTTTGGGAGGCCAAGGTGGGAGGATCATTTGAGGCCAGGCGTTCAAGACCAGCCTCAGCAACATAGCAAGACCCCCATCTCTATGAAAAACAGCAGATCACAGATTTTCACAGTGTGGACTAAAACCACTTGCTAAAATATACGTTTTAGCCCCAACCCCGGAGATTCTGATTCTGTGTTCCTGGGGGAGCCATCAGTTTAAAAGAAAAAAACAAAACAAGCAAAAGCTAAGCAGGAGCTGCAGACACCCACCCGAGTCTGAGCCTGGCTGCGCTTCCCCACCGATGCCAATGGCACCACCTGGTGGTCATCATGTACATTACACCACCTTCCTGGAGGGGCGTCCTTGCACATGGTATAGGGTCGCTGCACACAGCATCTCTTCTAATTTTCCCAACTCTGCAAGAGAGATCCTCATCCCCGTTTCACTGATGGAGAAGCCGAGACTCAAAGAGGAGAGGTGACGTCTCTAAAACCCCACTTGTGGGAAGCGGAAGAGTCTGAACCCTAGCCCTGTTGTCTGTGCAATGGCTTGTAAATCTGGCTGGTAGTCAAAATCATCCGGGGAGCCTTTTTAAACTGGAGGTGCAGCCTTCAGCATCACCCCTTTGCATGCAGCTCCTTGCCCTCCCACGTGAGGAAAAGCTCGAAATCGCCAAAGGCGGGAAGACACTCACCACCCAGGACAAAGTGTAGGGGACTGGGGTCTCAGGGAAAAGGCTGGGGCTATGGGGCACCTGAAGCTCAGGGAAGCTTCTGTTTATTAACCAGATATTTCAGCATTTTAACAACTGGTGTGTGTGTGTATGACTGTGTCACATACACACACAAAATCTTACAAGTGTGGGAATAGAAGAGGGAATAACAGCAACACAACCTTGGAAAATCTTGGAAGCTGGAAAGCAGATACTCGAGTGGAAACTGACTTAGCAGTGTGCCTTGGTTGAGTGCCTACTGTTTTCTCAAAATACCGTTCAAATGACAGTAAAGGAATACAGGCCCGTGGGTCCCTAACACAAAGAAAAGGGGACCCTGATAGTTAACTGATAGTTAGGTTTCTGCAAAGAAGTGGAAAGTGGGTGAGTCATGGCTGGCAGCACCCCCTGGGGTCCTTAAGGCCACCCAGCCAGGGGCAGTTCAGGCACCCTCCCAGCTGCCTGGCTGGGACTGGCAGTGCCAGGCTGGCCAGAGCTAGGAGAAGTGTGTCTGCCCGGTACACTCATGGTCTTGAGGGACAGAGTCAGCGCTGTGGTGATGGCTGTCAGTCGTCAAGTCCTGCCCCCAATATCCCAGTAGTTTCTTTCACGGAAATGTGACTGGAAGCACGAGAGCCACTCGACACTTGAGGAAACGCAGCTTCCTGAAAGGAAAAGACCAAGAAGAAGAGACCCAAACCATTCCCACAAACGCAAGGGAAATTCTGGGAACGGAAAGGAAATTGCAAAGGGAAACTGAAGTTAGAATTATCAGAGATTTCAGGTGAGATTGCATATTTTCTCCTCATCTGAAAGATAGCTGCAACTTGCTTTTTTCCCTCTCAATGTCGCTTCTGAAATTTCTTCATCAAACATAAATCAAAGCAACCAGTGAATCTGTCCTACATTCCTTTGTATGTACGTACCACAATTCATCAAATGACACGTAAGGTGATTCTGGGGACTGAGTTTTCTGGTTTTGTTTGCAATTACAAATGGTGCTTAATAGCACTGTGACCTTGGAAAATTACTTTTAACTTTACCTGGCTTCTGTTTACAGATGCTTATTTGGAAAATGAGGATAACAGTAGGAGAACCTACCACACAGGTTTGTGATGAGGATTAAATGATTCATAAATGTAAGCCTTTAGAATAGTGCAGTGGTTCTCAGTTGGGCCTGATTTTATACCCAGAGGACAGCTGGCAATGTCTGGAGACATTTTTGTTGAAATGACTGGTGGGTAGAAGCCAGGGAGGTTGCTAAGCCTCCTGCAATGCCCAGGACATCCCCTGAGAGAACTGCCCAGCCGGTTGAGAAACCCCAGAACAATGCATGGCACAAAATGTGAACTCAATCAATATTCGTTATTTTTTAAGAGCTGCAGTGAAAATTATTTTCCTTATCATCGATGTACAAGTGTGAGAGTGTCTCACAGAAACTATCACTCCCTTCAAATACTCATGGAACATTTATCAAAATTGTTTTATTCAGCCATAAAGAACATCTAAGTAAATTCTAAAATGTAGAAATCATACAGAATATTTTCTCACCATGAAGCAATAATTGAGAAATTAACTACCAAGGGGAGCTTCTTCCTGCTCCACCCCTACCTCCCTTCACCTATCCAGAATTCCAAAGCTATCTGGAATGTTTAAAATGTCATAAGTAACTGTTTGTTAGAGAAGAAACACAAAGTGAAATATTAATTTATAAAGTAACATAAATAAGAATGTTATATGTTAAGAGCTACTGAGTACAAGGGAAAACTCAGGAAAATAGTCCTATGAAATTTTATAAAATAAAGAAAATTGAAAACAAATCAGCTAAGCACTTACTTCTAGAAAGAAAATGAATAATAAAATAAATACCAAGAGAGTAGGAGGAAATTAATAAAAATAAAAAAGAAATTAATGAAATAGAACAGTAGGCTGGGCGGGTGGCTCACGCTGTAATCCTAGCACTTTGGGAGGCCAAGGCAGGCAGATCACCTGAGGTCAGGGGTTCGAGACCAGCCTGGCCAACATGGCGAAACCCTGTTTCTACTAAAAATACAAAATTAGCCAGGCATGGCAGCGGGCGCCTGTAATCCCAGCTACTTGGGAAGCTGTTTGGACCCGGGAGGCAGAGTTTGCAGCGAGCTGAGATTGTGCTACTGCATTCCAGCTTGGGTGACAGAGTGAGACTCTGTCTCAAAATAAAAAATAAATAAACTTAAAACTTAGCTGGGTGTGGTGGCGCACACCTATCGTCCCAGTTACTCAGGAGGCTGAGGTAGGAGGGTCACTTGAGCCTGGGAGGTCCAGGCTACAGTGAGCCATGATTGCAGCCACTGTACTCCAGCCTGGGTGTGAGACCCTGAAAAAAAAAAACAGAAAGAAAAAAGAAAAGAAAGAAAGAAATACAAAAGTAGCATCCATAAATGAGTACTTTCTAAAATGCCAATAAAATACACCAGCAAAATACTTATGTTAAAGAGAGCTCTGGCTGGGCACGGTGGCATACACCTGTAATCCTTGCACTTTGGGAGGCTGAGGAGGGAGGATTACTTGAGGCCAGGAGTTCAGGACCAACCTGGCCAACATAGTGAGACCTCGTCTCCACTAAAAAAAAAAATTTAAGAGATAAGAATTGTTTAAAGCTAATTAAAAGGATATAGTAACATAGACAAAACTCTGACAAGTCTAACTTTAAGGGGGAAAAATAAGCAACAGATACAGACAATGTCAGGAATGAGGAAAGAGATATAACCACAGATATACAGGAAATTAAAAACTGTAAGAAAGAATTCTGTTTAGTATGGCATATTCTCTACAGCCTCTCATCCCCAAAACGCCACAAAAACTATAGTAAAGGAGTGGGGATGGGCAAAGAAACGCACAAAAGGAAACTAGGGAGAACAGAGAGGGGGAAAGGACAAGAAAGTTTGGAAGATGAAAAGTAGATATTTGAGCCATAACTGACTTAGAGTTCCGACAATGTAAACTAATCCAGAAGAGGGGAAAGCTGAGAAACAGGATTAAAACCTCAAGACCCAGCCCCTGCCCCACACCTTGGGTCCTACAATCTGTTGGGATCGGCAAAGCGGCCGTCCTGGTCACCCCAGCTCTCACTCCACACGCAGGACCCTGGCACGGTGCCATCTGCCCTCAGCAGCAGCAAAGCCTGGGAGAGTCCCTCACCCTGCTCTACCACCAAAGCACTGGTGGGCTCTGCAGGGGCAGCATCTGCAAAGCCTCATGTCTCCCTGCCCCCTACCCAGTGGCGTCTGCCCCTTTTTCCCATGCAAGTCATCTAGCAACACCGGGCCAACCCGGGATGTGCTCCTGCTCCCACCAGCAGGGACTGAAAGGGTGCCCCGGTGGCACCAGAAAAACAAAGCACAGGAGACTAACATCGCGAGGGCTCAGAAAACTAAACTGCCTTCAGAACTGAAGCCCACAAGTAGACAGAACCTACATGCTAACCTGGGCAGCTGCCTGCTGAAACAGAAGCCTGAAATAGGATTGAGGATCCCAGAGCCAGCACAGTGGCTCAGGCCTGTACTCCCAGCGCTTTAGGAGGCCAAGGTGGGCAGATCACGTGAGCCCAGGAATTTGAGACCAGCTTGGGTAACATAGCAAAAACCCCATCTCTACAAAAAATACAAAAACGAGCCGGGCATAGTGGCATGCGCCTGTAGTCCCAGCTACTTCGGAGGCTGAGGTGGGAGAATCCCTTGAGCCTGGGAGGCAAAGGTTGCAGTGAGCCAAGATCACGCTACTGCATTCCAGCCTGGGCGACAGAGCCAGACCCTGTCTCAAAAACAAACAAACACAAACAAACAAAAAAACGAACAAACAAACAAAAAAAAACCGGCCTTGCGCAGTGGCTCAGGCCTGTAATCCCAGCACTTTGGGAGGCCAAGGCAGGTGGATCACAAAGTCAGAAATTCGAGACCAGCCTGGCCAACATTGTGAAACCTCGTCTCTACTAAAGATACAAAAATTAGCTGAGCGTGGTAGGGTGCACCTGTAATTCCAGCTACTCAGGAGGCTGAGGCAGGAGAATTGCTTGAACCAGGAGGTGGAGGTTGCAGTGAGCCGAGATCGTGCCACTGCACTCCAGCCTGGTGATAGAGCGAGGCTCCATCTCAAAAAAAAAAAAAAAAAAGGTATTCAAAGAAATCATGGCTGAAAATTTTTCATACTTGGCAAAAGGCATAAACCTACAGATTCCAGAATTGGGGAGAGCACAAAGAAATTATTTTTATTAATTGTTATTACTATATTATTATAGTTTTCAGAAGTTTAATTATGATGTGTCTTGGTGTGGATTTCTTTGAAGAAAGAATCCCAGAGTGCTGGGATTACAGATGTGAGCCACCATGCCCAGCTGTTTTTTTCTGTTGTTGTTTGTTTTTGAGATGGACTCTCACCCAGTCGCCCAGGCTGGAAGTGCCGTGGTGCGATCTCGGCTCACTGCAACCTCCACCTCCTGGGTTCAAGCGATTCTCCTGCCTCAGCCTCCTGACTAACTGGGATTACAGGCATGTGCCACTATGCCCGGCTAATTTTTTGTATCTTTAGTAGAGACAGGGTTTCACCACATTGGCCACGCTGGTCTCGAACTCCCGACCTTGTGATCCACCCGCTCTGGCCTCCCAGAGTCCTGGGATTACAGGCGTGAGCCACCGCGCCCGGCCGCTTGTATCTTTTTGAGAGTGGCTCAGCATAATGTTCTTGCAATTCATCCCCGTTGTTGTGTGTCTTGATGGCTCCTTTCCTTTTACCTGCTGAGTAGTGCTTCACGTAATGTTCATGCAACTCATCCCCGTTGTTGTGTGTCTTGATGGCTCCTTTCTTTTTACCTGCTGAGTAGTGCTTCACGGTTTGGACGCATGACAGTCTGTTTAAGCATTTGTCTGTTGAAAGATATCTGAGTAGTTTCTAGTTTAGGGATATTATGAATGAAACTGCTATAAACATTCATGTACAATTTTCTCCACGAAAATAAGGTTTCATTTCTCTGTGACAAAGGCCAAAGAATATAATTACTGAGTTGTATGGTAACTCCATTTTTAGTTTTGAAAGGAATTGCCAAAATGTTTTCCAGATTGGCTGTATCATTTTACATTCTCACTGGCAATGTGTGAGTTAAACTGTTTCTTTGCATCCTTGCCAGCATTTGGTGTTATCACTATTGTTTATTTTGGTCATTCTAAAAGGTATATAGTGATAGCTCATTGTGGTTTTAATTGGTATTTTTCTACTGACTAATGATGCTGAACTTTTTTTATTCTTTTTTTTCTTTTTGAGACAGAGTTACCAACCTCCGTCTCCCAGGTTCAAGCGATTCTCCTGCCTCAGCCTCCCTAGTAGCTGGGACTACAGGCGCACACCACCAAAAAAAAAAATTTTTTTTTGTATTTTTAGTAGAGATGGGGTTTCACTATGTTGGCCAGGATGGTCTCGATCTCTTGACCTCGTGATCTGCCCGCCTCGGCCTCCCAAAGTGCTAGGATTACAGGCGTGAGCTACCATGCCCAGCCGATGCTGAACTTTTTTTAGGTGTTTATTTGCCATCTGTATACCCTCTTTGATGAAATTCCTATACATACCTTTTGTATATTTTCAGATTAGATTGTTGGTGTTTTTAATACTGAGGTCTGACAGTTCTTTCTTTATTTTATTTTATTTATTTATTTGAGATGGAGTCTCGCTCTGTTGCCCAGGCTGTAGTGCAGTGGCACGATCTTGGCTCTCTGCAAACTCTGCCTCCCGGGTTCAAGCAATTCTCCATCCTCAGCCTCCTGAGTAGCTGGGATTATAGGCACGCACCACTATACCTGGCTAATTTTTGTATTTTTAGTAGAGATGGGGTTTCGCCGTGTTGGCCAGGCTGGTGTTGAACTCCTGACCTCAGGTGATCCACCCACGGCAGCTTCACAGAGTGTTGGGATTACAGAGTCCTTTATATATTTTAGATACAATGCCTTTGTCAGATATGTGACTTGCAAATATCCACTCCCAGTCTATAATTTGTCTTTTCATACTCCTAACAGTCTTTCATTGAGCAAAAGTTAATTCTGATGAAGTCCAATTAATTGACATTTCCTTTTATGGATGGTGCTTCTGGTGTCAAGTCTAACAACTCTGCCTAGACTGGGTCCTGAAGATTTTCTCCTATTTTTTTTCTAGATGTCCTGTAATTTTACATTTAAGTCCAAGGTCCATTATAAGTTAAAAATTGTAGGCCGGGCGCAATGGTTCACGTCTGTGATCCCAGCACTTTGGGAGGCTGAGGCAGGCGGATCACGAGGTCAGGAGATTGAGACCATCCTGGCTAACACAGTGAAACCCCATCTACTAAAAACACAAAAAATTAGCCGGGCGTGATGGTGGGCACCTGTAGTCCCAGCTACTCAGGAGGCTGAGGCAGGAGAATGGCGTGAAACTGGGAGGCGGAGCTTGCAGTGAGCTGAGATCGCGCCACTGCACTCCAGCCTGAGCAACGGAGCGGGACTCCATCTCAAAAAAAAAAATTGTAGAAGATGGGAAGATTAGTTCAGGATCTTTTTTGTGGGATTTTTGCAAGATGAATGTATAATTGCTCCAGCACCATTTATTGAGAAGGTGGCCCCTTTCTCCATTGAATTACTTTCTTCTTTCATCAAAAATTAATTTAGTAGGCCGGGCAAGGTGGGTTACGCCTGTAATCCGAGCACTTTGGGAGGCTGAAGCAAGACAATTGCTTGAGGCCAGGAGTTTGAGACCAGCCTGGCCTACTTGGCGAAACTCCATCCCTACTAAAAATACAAATTAGCTGGGCATGGTGGCACGTGCTGGTAGTCCCAGCTACTGGGGCTGTGAAAGGGAGGCTGAGGTGGGAGGATCGCTTGAGTCCAGAAGGTCGAGGTTGTAGTGAGCCAAGACCGCGCCACTGCACTCCAGCCTGGGCGACAGAGCAAGACCCTGTCTCAATAACAAAAAATTAATTGGGTATATTTGTATAAATCTATTTCTGGGTTCTCTGTCTGTCTCACTGATCAATGTGACTCATCTCTTTTCCAGTACCACACTGTTTTAATTACTGTAGCTAATAGTAAAGACTTGGCATCTGCAAGAGTGATTACTCCCACTTTATTCTTTTTAAATATTGTTTGGCTATTCTAGAGCCTTTCCTTTCCCACAGAAATTTTGGAATAAGCTTTTATGTGTTCAGAAAATCTTGCTGAGGTTTTAATAGAAATTTTGGTAAACCTATAGATCAATTTTGGAGAGAATTTACATCTTTACTATGTTAAGTGTTTAGTCTTTCAATTTTTTTTTTTTTTTTTTTTTTTTTTTTTTTTTTGAGACGAGGTCTCCCTATGTTGCTCAGGCTGGCCTTGAACTCCTGGGCTAGGGCAATCATCTTGCCTTAGCTCCTCAGTAGCAGGGTTACATACAGGTGTGCACCACCTTGCCCCAAATCTTTGCTTGAGCCCAGGAGTTTGGGACCAGCCTGGGCAACATAGCAAGACTCCATCTCTACAAAAAATAAAAATAGGCCGGGTGCAGTGGCTAACCCCTGTAATCCCAGCACTTTGGGAAGCCGAGGCGGGTGGATGATGAGGTCAGGAGTTCAAGACCAGCCTGATCAATATGGTGAAACCCCTTCTCTACTAAAAATACAAACATTAGCCGGGCATGGTGGCACGTGCCTGTAGTCCCAGCTACTCCGGAGGCTGAGGCAGGAGAATTGCTTGAACCCTGGAGGCAGAGGTTGCAGTGGGCCAAGACTGCACCACTGCACTGCAGACTGGGTGACAGAGCGAGACTCTGTCTAAAAAAAATTAAAAATATAAATATAAAAATAAATTAGCTGGACGTGGTGGTGCACACCTGCAGTCCCAGCTACTTAGGAGGCTGAGGTGGGAGGATCACTGGAGCCTGGGAGGTGGAGGCTGCAGTGAGCCATAACTGCACCACTGCATTCCAGCCAACACAACAGCGCGAGACCCTGTCTCAAACAAAACGAAACAGTTGTTATGTAAAGAAATAAATAAATTTTAATGAAAAAAATAAATGAAAGAAATTTAAAGAGCAATTAACCAGAGCTAGGGATAGGCGAGGGAGGGGTGAGTGTGGCTATAGATCTTGGGGTGATGGCACAGTATCTTTTTTTTTCTTTTTGAGGCAGGGTCTGGCTCTGTCACCCAGGCTATAGTGCAGTGGTGTGATCATGGGTCACTCACTGAAGCCTCAACCTCATGGGCTCAAGTGATCCTCCCACCTCAGCCTCCTGAGTAACTGGGAATACAGGTGTGTGCCACCATGCTCAGCTAGTATTTTTAATTTTTTGTAGAGATAGGGTCTCACTGTGTTGCCCAGGTTGGTCTTCAACTCCTAGGCTCAAGCGATCCTTCTGTCTCAGCCTCCAAAGTGTTGGAATTACA
The DNA here is from genome assembly GCF_000001405.40 of Homo sapiens. NCBI lineage: Eukaryota > Metazoa > Chordata > Mammalia > Primates > Hominidae > Homo > Homo sapiens. Next base: position 180,479,971 of record NC_000005.10, read on the forward strand.
GGTGTGAGCCACTGTGCCTGGCCCAGGGAAGCATCTTTTTTTTTTTTTTTTGAGACAGAGTCTCGCTCTGTCGCCCAGGCTGGAGTGCAGTGGTGCAATCTCGGCTCACTGCAAGCTCTGCCTCCTGGGTTCACGTCATTCTCCTGCCTCAGCCTCCAGAGTAGCTGGGACTACAGGCACCCGCCACCACGTCTGGCTAATTTTTTTTTTTTTGTATTTTTACAAATACAAAAACTTTGGCCTCCACCAAATTTGTATTTTTAGTAGAGATGGGGTTGCACCGTGTTAGCCACGATGGTCTCGATCTCCTGACCTCATGATCCGCCCGCCTCAGCCTTCCAAAGTGCTAGGATTACAGGCATGAGCCACCGCGCCCGGCCCCAGGGAAGTATCTTGATTATGGTGGTGGACACCTGAAGCTACATGTAACAAAGTTGCACAGAGAGCCCCTCTCCCACACACACATAAATGAGTGCATGTGTAACTGGTAAAATCTGAATAAACTCTATGGCTTGAACCAATGTCCACTTTCTGGGTTCGAGATTGTATTACAGTGGCCAAGTGCAGTGGTTCATGCCTGTAATCCCAGCACTTTGGGAGGCTGAGGCTGGTGGATCGCTTGAGCTCGGGAGTTCAAGACTAGCCTGGGCAACATAGTGAAACCCCATCTATACAAAAAAAAGAAAAACAAGGCCGAGCGCAGTGGCTCACGGCTGTAATCCCAGCACTTTGGGAGGCTGAGGCGGGTGAATCACCTGAGGTCGGGAGTTCGAGACGAGCCTAACCAACATGGAGAAACTCTGTCTCTACTAAAAATACAAAATTAGCCAGGGTGGTGGCGCATGCCTGTAATACCAGCTACTCGGGAGGCTGAGGCAGGAGAATCGCTTGAACCCGGGAGGTGGAGGTTGCGGTGAGCCAAGATCGCACCATTGCACTCCAGCCTGGGTAACAAGAACAAAACTCTGACTCAACAAAAAAAAAGAAAGCACTCATTGCCAAAGATCTTGTCTGGACACAGCTCTTAAACGTTAAGACTCGAGTCCTTTACTTGGTTGCTTTTGTGTTCTGCTTGTCATCCAGTTTCACAATTTAACGAATCTGAGGCCATTTTTGAAATACTCCGCTTGGTTTGGAAGCCAACACCCTCAGTCCACTTTTGGCCAGCAAGCTCTCAGTCTCTGCATGGCAGAGCATCAGCCTTGTCTTCTGCCACACATGCACCACTCGATTCTGGTGGCAGCAGCCTACAGTACTGTGCCGTCTCTGCTCCACAAGATGCTCGGGACCCCACCAGCCTTCCTGCAGCTCCCATTCTTACTCTGACCTCATGGCCCTCATTCTCATGGTCCCAGATGCAAACTCCCTGCTCCAGGCAGCAGGATGGAAGACAGGCTCAGGAGGAGGCGGCAATAGGTGCGGCCTCCCTTGGGTATGGGAAGACTAGGTTCTACTCATTGGAAGAAGTGTGAATGTGGATATCTGGCCATCAGATATTTGGACTGTGTCAGAAACGTTTGTCTGTTCAACAAAATTCATGCCCTCTCTTCCACTGTACAGATTTATTGCCGGAAGCAGGTGCTCAGACAGAATTGAGCAAGTGATTTCCAGGCTTGTGGAAATCTTCCCAAATCTTTGCTTTTGGTGGGAAGGTATGACTGGTTCTTGCGAATGGGCCAGGAGATGAAGTGATGTGGGTGACTTTGGGCTGAGCTGGTTAGGAAGCACTTCGGCTTTCTTTTCTTTTTTTTTTTTTTTGAGATGTGGTCTCACCCTATCGCCCAGGCTGGAGGGTAATGGCGCGATCTTGGCTCACTGCAACCTCCACCTTCCGGGTTCACGCCATTCTCCTGCCTCAGCCTCCCTAGTAACTGGGACTACAGGCACCCGCCACCATGCCCAGCTAATTTTTTTGTATATTTAGTTGAGATGGAGTTTCACTGTGTTAGCCAAGATGGTCTTGATCTCCTGACCTCATGATCTGCCCGCCTCGGCCCCCCAAAGTGCTGGGATGACAAGCATGAGCCACCACGCCCGACCATGCTTGGCTAATTTTTATATTTTTAGTAGAGACGGGGTTTCGCCATGTTGGCCAGGCTGGTCTTGAACTGCCAACCTCAGGTGATCTGCCCGCCTCGGCCTCCCAAAGTGCTGGGATGACAGGCGTGAGCCACCGCGCCCGGCCGCGCTTGAGCTTTCTTATTCTCTCTTCCCTCTTTACCAGCTGGATACAGAGGGCTCTGAAGCCTAGGGCAGGGGTTCCCCAGGTTTTTTTTTTATGCCGTGACCCCTCCTGGAAGTCTGATGAAGCCCACGGACCTCCACTCAGAATAATGATTTTAAAAACACAAAGTAAAATACACAGGATGGCAAAGGGAACTAGTTATATTGAAATAGTTACAAAACTATTTCAAGTATTATAACAATATTTGTGCATATAATAGCATATTAAATAATAAAATCTTTTGGTAGATCTAATATCTCTCACATTTAAGTAGCAAATGACTGAAAATGATTTTTTTTTTGAGATGGAGTCTCCCGCTGTTGCCAGGCAGTGCAGTGGCATGATCTTGGCTCACTGCAATCTCCGCCTCATGGGTTCAACCTCCTGCCTCAGCCTCCAGAGTAGCTGGGATTACAGGCATCTGCCACCACACCCAGCTAATTTTTGTATTTTTGGTAGAGAGAGGGTTTCCCCATGTTGGCCAGGATGGTCTCGATCTCCTGACCTCAGGTGATCCGCCCGCCTCGGCCTCCCAAAGTGCTGGGATTTCAGGCGTGAGCCACCGCACCTGGCCCATATTTCAGGATACCCCAACACTTTTTTAGGGTTATGAAAATGTTTTAGAGCTAGAGAGAGGCAGTGGTTGCACGCCATTGTGAGTGTACTAAGTAGTACCGAATTGTATACTTTAAAATGGTTCATTTTATATCATGTGAATTTCATCTCAAAAAAGGAACTGGGGGTGGGGAGATCTCCCCACAGCTGTGATAGGGTACAACAGTATCCGGCTGGGGCTTCTACTGGTGATGGTCATGGGGATCGCTCATTCCATTGGGATCTGTTACCTACGCTCAAAATGACAGTGCTAAATTTCTACCCAATTGAGTTCACAGGTCCCTTTGCCTGAATTCTATCCACAGATTCCTTGGTGGTCCACAGACCCTGGAGTAAGAATCTCTGCCCTAGGGGATGACAGGACTGTAAAAGGAAGGGACCTGGGTCCCTGAATCACACGGGGGAAGTCACCTGCTGAATCAGAACGCCTCAACAGCTAGCTAGCCAAGAAATAAACGGAGAGCGTGGCAACCCACAGATTTTGTTTGTATTTGTTTATTAGAGCAGCTAGCATTACCCTGAGCCAACAAATTCCCATTTCTGCTTAAATCACTTTAAATCAGTTTCTACTGTAGAAACTGAATGAGTCCTAATAAATTCAGACAGTGGCCTGTGAATCAAGTTATGCACGAAGAAACTTGGGACTCCTGTCCCGGGGCTCCCAGATAAAACCCTGTGGCCCCCTCCATCTCTGGGAGGACCCACATCCTCTGCATCTCTTCAGATTTTTGCCTTCAGCTCTGCTGATGTTCCTCTTGGAGACCCCGCATGGGGGTTCTGGACTAACCCACTGCCTGCAGAGGCAGGGGAGTGGATGTGAGGCCACCAGTTCAGTGCACAATACCCCTTCGGGTATCCTGGAGACAAACGCCACTCCTCAGCTGGCATGTTGTGGCATCCTGGGACAGTCAGGTCAGTTTTTGGAAACTTAATAAGCATTGTGTTAATCTGGAAGGAACAAAAGTCACCATGCCCTAAACTTTCCAAGGGTAATATCCATAATAAATGCCTGTCCAGGCTGGGTGTGGTGGTGCACACCTGTAATCCCAGCACTTTGGGAGGCCAAGGCGGGCAAATCATCTGAGGTCAAGAGTTCAAGACCAGCCTGGCCAACATGGCGAAACCCCATCTCTACTAAAAATACAAAAAATTATCTGGGTATGGTAGCGCGTGCCTGTATTCCCAGCTACTTGGGAGGCTGAGGCAGGAGAATCGCTTGAACCCAGGCAGCAGAGGTTGCAGTGAGCTGAGATTGCACCACTGCACTCCAGCCTGGGCGACAGAGCAAAATTCCGTCTAAAATAAATAAATAATAATAAAAAAAAAACACAAAAAAGGCTGGGCACGGTGGCTCACGCCTGTAATCCCAGTACTTTAGGAGGCCGAGGTAGGCGGATCACGAGGTCAGGAGATCAAGACCATCCTGGCTAACACGGTCAAACCTCTCTACTAAAAATACAAAAAATTAGCCGGGCATGGTGGTGGGCGCCTGTAGTCCGAGCTACTTGGAAGGCTGAGGCAGGAGAATGGCGTGAACCCGGAAGGCAGAGCTTGCAGTGAGCCGAGATCACGCCACTGCACTCCAGCCTGGGAAACACAGCGAGACTCTATCTCAAAAAAAAAAAAAAATTCCTGTCCTAGGTCAGCCTCCTGCTCTCCGGCCAATACGTCATATCCCATAATAAGCAGCAGGGCAACTCAAAATGTTTTTCTCCCAGGGGAGTATCAGTGATTAATCTGCCAGCAGGCGTTGGCATCTTGGGGCATCTCCCTGGAACTCCACCCTGGCCAGGCACTGCAGCCAAACAGACCCACCCTTCAGCAGCTCAGACCCAAGCTCGGTGGTGCCCCAGCGCCCCCTGCCTCTCACACCACACACCCGACCATCAGAAACTCCCAGGGGGAGTACAATCAATACAATGCAGACTGTCTAAACAGCCTAGAGCTTTGTTTGGTTCTTTTTTCCCCCCGATTGACAATCGGACCCACTGGTTTAAATTTAGAGGTTAATTCATCTGAAACGGTGTCTAGTAGTTGAAGAAAGACATACAGAGCATATTATTTGAAATGTGCTTAACGTGCTGTTTAAAAACAAATTTGTCCTGTTTCTAGGCCTTTTAGACACCAGTATTAAGCCTTAAGTCAAACAGCCCTAAAGGCTGCCTGTATCTGGACTTCTCGTCACAGGAGTCAGTAAGGGCGCCGGGTTTGTTATTCAAGGTCAGCGCATGGTAATCTATCAGTTCAAATGCTTGTCTCTGGGGAGTGTGGCTGGAATAGGGATAGGGATGAGATATTCACTTCCTTTATCATGCCTTTCTGCTTTTTAAGTTTTACCATTTTATTTTATTTTATTTGTTAATTTTTTTAGACAGAGTCTCACTCTGTCGTCCAGGCTAGGGTGCAGTGGCACGATCTCGGCTCACTGCAACCTATGCCTCCCAGGTTCAAGCAATTCTCCTGCCTCAGCCTCCCGAGTAGCTGGGACTACAGGCGCCTGCCACCATGCCCGGCTAATTTTTGTATTTTTAGTAGAGACGGGGTTTCACCATGTTGCCCTCGAACTCCTGATCTCAGGTGATCCGCCTGCCCCAGCCTCCCAAAGTGGGTGGATTCCAATGCATTCCAGCCTGGGTGGAAAGTAAGACCCCATCTCTTAAAAAAACCAAAAAGCATCAGTATAGTTTTGATGTTGTGTTAAAGAATAAGGAAAAAGAAGTTAAAAGAGAGACAGAAAACAAAACGCAAAACCAGAAACAAAACCAAATGAGCTGCCTTTTCCCCTTCCCAGCAATTCTCTAAGGTAAGTCTTTGGGAGTGCATCTGAACTCTGCATGGGAAGCTCTGTCTCCTGCATTCTGAGGCCTCGAGGCACCTTCTTGACTCCACATACTGAGTGTGAGGCCAGGAAGAGACAAGTGCCGAAGGAAGCAGCTGGCAGGAGGCCTGTTGCATGAAGGTGGAGGCTTGATGGAACGTGGACCTCGGGCCTCTGCCTCTTTCTTCCTTGCTGCTTCTACGTGGACCTCGGGCCTCTGCCTTTCTTCCTTGCTGCTTCTACGTGGACCTCGGGCCTCTGCCTCTTTCTTCCTTGCTGCTTCTACGTGGACCTCGGGCCTCCGCGCCTTTCTTCCTTGCTGCTTCTACGTGGACCTCGGGCCTCCGCGCCTTTCTTCCTTGCTGCTTCTACGTGGACCTCGGGCCTCTGCCTCTTTCTTCCTTGCTGCTTCTACGTGGACCTCGGGCCTCTGCCTCTTTCTTCCTTGCTGCTTCTACGTGGACCTCGGGCCTCTGCCTCTTTCTTCCTTGCTGCTTCTACGTGGACCTCGGGCCTCTGCCTCTTTCTTCCTTGCTGCTTCTACGTGGACCTCGGGCCTCTGCCTCTTTCTTCCTTGCTGCTTCTACGTGGACCTCGGGCCTCTGCCTCTTTCTTCCTTGCTGCTTCTACGTGGACCTCGGGCCTCTGCCTCTTTCTTCCTTGCTGCTTCTACGTGGACCTCGGGCCTCTGCCTCTTTCTTCCTTGCTGCTTCTACGTGGACCTCGGGCCTCTGCCTTTCTTCCTTGCTGCTTCTACGTGGACCTCAGGCCTCTGCCTCTTTCTTCCTTGCTGCTTCTACGTGGACCTCGGGCCTCTGCCTCTTTCTTCCTTGCTGCTTCTACGTGGACCTCAGGCCTCTGCCTTTCTTCCTTGCTGCTTCTATTCCTCTTTCTTCCAGCAACGGTATCCCTGATTTTCCTCTGACTACTCCACACTAATTTTTTTTTTTTTTTTGAGACAGAGTTTCACTCTTGTTGCCCAGGCTGGAGTGCAATGGTGTGATCTTGGCTCACTGCAACCTCTGCCTCCCAGGTTCAATGATTCTTCTGCTTCAGCCTCCCAAGTAGCTGAGATTACAAGCATGCGCTACCATGCCTGGCTAATTTTTTGTATTTTTAGTAGAGACAGGGTTTTACCATGTGGGCAAGGCTGGTCTCGAACTCCTGGCGCCAAGTGATCCATCCGCCACAGCCTCCCAAAGTGCTGGGATTACAGGCATGAGCTCCCGCACCCGGCCCCCATCAACTCTTTCCATATATGCTTGAGTGCAGCTGAAGACGATCTGCCTCCACAAGTAGGGCATGTGACTTCTTCCTGACTGGTGTATGACACATGCCAGAACATGGTGTTTGATTCAGAGATGGAAATGAGTCAGGCCTAGGACCTCTGTTCGACCATTTTGGGGACATTCTCTTTCCTGCCAGGCTTGAACCTTGAAGGAGATGGTATCCCCTTTTCTTGAATGTGGCACCTGATGATAAAGTCACCATGGAGGTGAGCAGAACCGAGTGGCATTAGCTCCCAGATCAAGCCACACCTGCAGCTAGTGGACTCTTCCTGGTCTTTCTTTTTTTTTGAGATGGAGTCTCGCTTTGTCGCCCAGGCTGGAGTGCAGTGGTGCGATCTCAGCTCACTGCAAGCTCCACCTCCCGGGTTCACACCATTCTCCTGCCTCAGCCTCCCGAGTGGCTGGGACTACAGGCGCCCGCCACCACACCCAGCTATTTTTTTTTGTATTTTCAGTAGAGACGGGGTTTCACTGTATTAGCCAGGATGGTCTCCATCTCCTGACCTCATGATCCGCCTGCCTTGGCCTCCCAAAGTGCTGGGATTACAGGCTTGAACCACCATGCCTGGCCATCTTCCTGGTCTTTTAATGCTACGTGAGCCAACTAATTCCTTTGTCCCCCTCTTAAAGCTGTTTGAGTTAGGTTTTCAGCCAATTGCAGGCTAATACAATGGGCTCAGGGACAAAGGATAATAGGGGTAAGATATGATTGGGATCTGAAACTTCATCTACGATACCAGGCCCTATCTAAGGAGAACTGTGGCCTGCAAGCCTCAAGTCCAGAGAAAGGGAGACAGATGTCCAGGGTGTGTCCATGTCTCTGGCACTGCATGGCAGTGGGAAATTTTTGTCACCAGCGCTGGTCTTTGGCCACTAAGCCTGCAGCCCTAGAGAGGAGGTGTCAGACTGTTAAGAGCTGAATGGCTCCACAGGTCTGTATTTCAGACTCACCAAACAACCTCCGAATGGCTTTGCTTCCCTCTAGAATGTGCTTTCCTACTAGAAGCGGGTTTGTCACACGGCTGTTCAAATTTTTCTTGCAAATAAACCTTGGGACCTGCTTCATTCATCATTCTCCTGCGCATTTTGGTTCTTGTGGTCAGTCTGTAATCGACACTGCATATCTCTGGGGCCCCTGGCAAATCCAGCTGCTGGACCCATACAGTAATGGTCCACATTTGTCTTCATTCGTTTTCTTTTGCCTATAACAGAGTATCTTAAACTGGGTAATTTATATGGAAAAGGAATTTATTTCTTACAGTTCTGCAGGCTGAGAAGTCCAAAGTCAAGGGGCCACATCTGGTGGGGACTTCCTGCTGGTGGGGACTCCCTGCAGTCCCAAAGCAGCACAAGGCATCAGATGGCAACAGGGATGGGTGTGCGAAGGTGCTAGCTCAGGTCTGTCTTCCTCTTCCTACAAAGCCACCAGTTCCTCTCCCATGATAACCCATTAATTAATCCATGAATGAATTCATTCATTCATGTGGGCTGAATTTTACCTCAGTTAAAGAAAATAGGGTAACCTAACCTTGAGAACATTGTCAGAGAAACTTTGAGGAATTATTTACCTTCATATATACATACTGTGAAATTCAAATACTTATTTCCCTTAGACTCTTATTCATGTATGTGTAAGAGACAGAGAGAAACAGAGTCGGAGACAGAGTTTTAGTTGACTTGAAAAAAGGAAACAGACTTTTATACACTGTTGGTGGAAATATAAACTGGTACAGACTTTTCAAAGAGCCATTTGGCAATATCTACCAAAACCCGCTCATTTTTTGTATTTTTTGTAGAGATGGGGTTTTGCTATGTTGCTCAGGCTGGTCTCAACCTCCTGAGCTCAAGCGATCTGCCAGCCTGGGAGAGTCCTCATGGCCCAATCACCTCTTAAAGACCCCACCTCTCAATACTGGGCCATCCCTTGAAACCATTCTGCCCTCTAGGCCCTCTAGGCCTCAGAGCCTGTGACAGCAAGTGTAGCCTCAAAGACCTCCAAAATGCCCTAGAGGTCTTTCTTCTATTTTTTTTTTTTTTTTTTTGAGGTGGAGTTTTGCTCTTGTTGCCCAGGCTGGAGTACAACGGCATGATCTCGGCTCGCTGCAACCTCCACCTCCCAGGTTCAAGCAATTCTCCTGCCTCAGCCTCCCAAGTAGCTGGGATTACAGGCGACTGCCAACACGCCCGGCTAATTTTTTGTATTTTTAGTAGAGACGGGGTTGGTTTCAGCATGTTGGCCAGGCTGGTCGCGAACTCCTGATCTCAGGTGATCCACCCCGCCTCGTCCTCCCAAAGTGCTGGGATTACAGGTGTGAGCCACCGTGAGTGACCAGCTCCATGCTCTTTGATGATCCTTTTTCTCTGTACTAATCTTGGTGAAAGACCACTGGGCCACCCTTGGTTTCTGCTTTTGAACACACTTTTTCATTCTACATGGCCAGGCTGAGTTTTGCAAATTTGTCTGCTTTGTTTCTCTTTTGATTGTTAATTCTGTCTTCATGAGTGCTGGAGGAGACAAATATTCAAACCACAGCAACATTCTCCATCAGTCCCAGGTTGGAATTCCAATGCCCCAGTCATGTTTGAGTGACAGACACCACGGCAACATCAACAATCATGGCCATCACCTAGGTGTCCATTTTCATTACTGAACCACCCATCTGAGGCCACCCTCTCAGAGTTAACAGGAATCCCGGACAGAAATATAGTTATAATTAAGCATTAATCAGGCGGCACTTAGGCCCACTTCCTTGTAACAGAAAGTCATGTAGCTCCGGACACTGACCATTATGCACCCCCGCTGTTACTACAGATGGGATTTCTGATGTTAGGGTCCTAAGGCTTTTGTTTAAAAATCACTTAAGCAGCCTGGCACAGTGGCTCACGCCTGTAATACTAGCACTTTGGGAGGCCGAGGCGGGCAGATTGCTTGAGGGCAGGAGCTGGAGACCAGCCTGGGCAACAAGGTGAAACCCCATGTCAACAACAACAATTAACGGGGTGTGGTGTATGCCTGCAGTCCCAGCCTCTCCGGAGGCTGAGGTGGGAGGATCACCTGAGCCCAAGGAGGTTGAGACTGCAGTGAGCCGTGATCATGCCACTGCACTCCAGCCTGGGTGACAGAGTGAGAACCTGTCTCAAAAATACAGTAACATAAATAAATATAGGCCGGGTACAGTGGCTCACACCTGTAATCCCAGCATTTTGGGAGGCCGAGGCGGGTAAATCACGAGGTCAGGAGTTCAAGACCAGCCTGGCCAACGTGGTGAAACCCCGTCTCTACTAAAAATACAAAAATTAGCTGGGTGTGGTGGTGTGCCTCTGTAATCCCAGCTACTCGGGAAACTGAGGCAGGAGAATTGCTTGAATCTGGGAGGTGGAGCTTGCAACAAGCCGAGATTGTGCCACTGTGCTCCAGCCTGGGCAACAGAGCAAGACTCTGTCTCAGGGAAAAAAATAAAAAAACAAAAATAAGTAAATAAATATGAAAGAAGTGCTCAAGCAGATCCTGAACTCCAGTCGAACAGGTGATGCCAACCAGTTTGAAGACCCCCAACCCTTGCCCAAAGGAACCAATCAGCATGAGAATCAGCACGGCTTCATCCTGCTCTCCTTGACAAACCAGCAATCTCCATTCTTCAGCCCACTCCAAAACCCTTGAAAATCCTAGCCCCAAACTCATCAGGGAGGCAGATTTGGTTTCTTCTTGTCTCCACATCCAGTGGCCCTAGGATTCAAACCTCCTCTGCTGCAGCCTGGTGTCTTGGCGCATTGACTTGCTGTGCACATCGGATGATGACCCTATTCTGGTGACGCATCCCTCTGTGCAACGCATTTACTGGTCAAATTAGAATTATTTTGGTTGTAAGCTACAGAAGCCAAACTCAAACTTAAGCGAAAAAAAAAAAGTATTGGTTTGTATACCTGGAATAGGTTCTGGTATAGGTCACGAGCTAAAGGAAAAAACTACTGAAACAAGTTGTCAGGCCCTTGCTCTGAGACTCCACATCTTCACCAGTGTCTCATCTCTCCATGTGGTGGGGAAGATGGCACTGGCTGCCACCAATTCATGCTGTCCTCGCTTAGCACGTATCAATCCCAGACTGGTCCTGCTTTGGTACTGCCTGACTGCAGTAGAAACAAGGCCCAGGCCAGGCCAGTGAGAGCCTGCCCTGGGTCTTTGGCTGGAATCATTAGGAAAGAAGCACCTTCTCTAAGCGGAGAAGCTGGTAGAATCTAAGCCTGCAGGTGTTGGTGGCATCTTTCCCGCTTGTGAGGCCTGCAGAGAGAACAGGATGGAGGGTGGGAGGTGAGATCGATTCTTGATGCCACCTTACAATGCCTGAATGGTTCAGCATTCCCTCTTTCAATTCAATTCCCTCCTTCTTGCAAAGAAATATTGAGTTGTGAGTTTTATAACTTGCAATGGGAGGTCTGGCCTAACATGAGGGGCACTTTGATCTGGCCTGAAAGGGTGAGTAGGTATTTTGCGGGGTTCTCCTCGGATATGCAGAAAGAAAAGGGCATGCACAGCAGAGCCACTATCGTACCCTCCTGGTGGCAGCAAGTCTCCCCAGAGGGCTCCAATTAGTCCACCCCGCCCTGCATGCACGCGCAGCTCCTCCACAGCTTATGTCCTCTCCTCTTGAATCTGGCTTGGGCTTGTGCCTGCTTTAATTCATAGAATATTGAGGAAGTGGCCTTCTTCAGAAGGCCTGGCAGCTTCGCTTTCCTCTTGGAGCCCCTGGTTGTCATGTAGGAAGTGCAGGATCACCTCCTGCTGGGGAAAGGGGCCACACACAAAGGCTGAAGGATGAGACACTGCGGGGGAGGCCTCGTTAGGGGGCAGCGAGGTGCCAGACATTCAACACCCAGCTGCCACCTTTGGTATAGGCATGAGGCCCCAAGGGTGAACATCAGAATCATGAGATACAGTAAAACTGTTGCTTTATGCTACCAAGATTTTGTGCAACAAGACCTCCCCTCCTCCATACAGTCGTGCCAGTCACAAGGGAATTGCTCCCTCTGTTTTTTGTTTTGTTTTGTTTGAGTTTTTTTTTTTTTTTTTTTGAGACAGTCTTGCTCTGTTGCCCAGGCTGGAGTGCCATGGCGCAACCTTAGCTCACTGCAACCTCTGCCTCCTGGATTCAAGCGATTCTCATGCCTCAGCCTCCTAAGTAGCTGGGATTACAGGTGCCCGCCACTGCACCCAGCTAATTTTTTTTTTTTTTTTTGTATTTTTAGTAGAGACGGGGTTTTGCCATGTTGGCCAGGCTGGTCTCGAACTCCTGGCCTCAAGTCATCTGCCCGCCTCGGCCTCCCAAAGTGCTGGGATTACAGGCGTTGAGTCCCCGCACCGGGCTGAGGTAGCTGCCTCTGGCCAAATTACAAAAAGGCACCCAGGCTGGAGCACAGACGGCCAGGGCACTCACACAGGGAGGAGAGGCCCTGCAGGGTGTCTGTCCCATTGGCCCCTCAGCCTGGGATACTCTGTACAGCACAGGGCCGCACAACTCCCTGCTGTACAGGAGGAGGTTGTGGAGGGATGGCCACAGGCAGCTTACTGGTCTACATGTGTTCTTCCTGACTCCTAAACTTCTGCACTGCTCTGTCTTTGCCCAGTGTCCTATGGCGCTAGAGGCCTGGGCTGTCACTCCTGATGTCATGGCAGTGCCAAGCGATGACCATCCCAAGGCCGTGCTGGGGAGAGGGGGATCATCTTCACCTCTGAACAGCTTTTGTCCCTCATCCTTTCCTTGCCCTTCCAGCCAGGTCTCCTCCACCCCAGGCAACAGCAACCCATTTCCCACATCCCCAGCTCTCAACAGCCTTCACTGAAGCAGAAGCCTCGGTTTGTTGCTACTGTTAGTTCCTGGAACCTGTCTCACTCTCATTTCTTCAGGGTTGATTTTCCAGGAAGCAGTTAGCAGCCTATCCTAGTTTGCCACATAGGTGGGCAGGCAGCTTTCCTTTTCCTTCACGCCTTCAACATATAGCTCAAATTTTTTTTTTTTTTTTGAGACAGGGTTTCGCTCTTGCTGCCCAGGCCTGAGTGCAATGGTGCGATCTCCGCTTACTACAACCTCCGCCTCCCAGGTTCAAATGATTCTCCTGCCTGCCTCAGCCTCCCGAGTAGCTGGGATTACAGGTGCAAGCCACCAGACCTGGCTAATTTTTTGTACTTTTAGTAGGGACGAAGTTTCGCCATGTTGGTCAGGCTGTTTTCCAACTCCGGACCTCAGGTGATCTGCCCCCCTCGGCCTCCCAAAGTGCTGGGATTACAGGCGTGAGCCACCGCGCCCGACCAATATACCTCCAATATTAAGTCTGTTGGGTGTTATTCTTGCCCCTAGACTGTGAGCTTACTCAGGGCTGGGTGGGGTCTGATTCATCTCTGTGCCCTGACCATCAGTCAACTAATATTTCTTGATGTAAGCATCATGAATCAGCCCAGTCATTTCTCTGCTGACCTTCAAACACCAGAGTTTGCCCTGAACACCTTTTGATCTTGGAGCACAGCAGCTGCTGTCCGTTACCCAGGCTAGGACCCCAGCACCAAAACTGTCCATTAATGTAATGGAATGAATTACCATTAATAGGCTGAAGTGGTATGTTAACTTACTCTTCTTTGTATAATTGAGGAAGGAATAATATTCGACTGTTCACGATTGAATGTCTTGTCTTTAGGCAGATCAAGATACTGGCTCCGGTCAAATACTGTGTTTCGACGTGATTGACAGGCGAAGGCTTAAGGAAAAGGAAGAGGAGAAAAAAAGGGGAGGACGATCAAGGAAAAGAGGAGATAAAAGTGGACAACCCAGCCGGGCGCGGTGGCTCACGCCTGCCATCCCAGCACTTTGGGAGGCGGAGGTGGGCGGATCACGAGGTCAGGAGATGGAGACCATCCTGGCTAACACGGTGAAACCCCGTCTCTACTAAAAATACAAAAAATGAGCCGGGCGCGGTGGCGGGCGCCTGTAGTCCCAGCTACTCGGGAGGCTGAGGCAGGAGAATGGTGTGAACCCGGGAGGCGGAGCTTGCAGTGAGCCAAGATCGCCCCACTGCACTCTGGCCTGGGTGAAAGAGCAAGACACCGTCTCAAAAAACAAAAAAAAAGTGGACAACCTGGGGCGGAAAAAGAAGTAGATGAAAAATGGAGGAGCGCTAAGGAGAGGAGAAAACAGAAGTGCCAAGGCAGGAAAGGAGCGAGGAGAGCGGGAACAGAAGGAGACGAAGGATGGACGGAGAGGAAGGGATGGAGGGCGGCAGGCAGGGAGGCAGGGCCCGCAGCGCGCCGGGCCGGTCCACCGCTCTCCAGCGCGGGGGTAAGGGGGCGGGGCCTGGGCAGCTGCGTGCCGGGAGCGACCCCCGCACCGAAGGGCGGATGGTTGTGCCCGGCGACGGCGCCCAATGAGCGGCCAGGATGTTGGAGCGCCGGCGGCGGTCCGGGCGCTCGCTGGCTGAGGGACGGCGGCCGCCGCCATGATGCTTGTTTGCTTTCAATGAAAACGAGGGGGGCGCGGAGGAGGAGGCGGCGGCGTCGGTGGCGGCGGCGACGGCGGCGCGGAGGCGAAGGCAGCGGCGGGCGCAGCGAGGAGGGCGAGGCCGGGGGCCGAGAGGGCGGGAGGGCGTAGTGGCGGCCCGTCGGGGCGGCTGAGGCGGGCAGCCGAAGCAGTGGCTCTCGGAGGGGGAACAAAGAGCAGCGACTAAGGCGGCAGAGGAGCGGCGGCGGTGGCGGCGCTGCAGCAGCGGGCGGGACTGGTATGGTGGTTCCACAGGGCAGACCCCGCTGCACTCACAGGGAGGAGGAGGCGGCAGCGGCGGAGGAAGGCGGCGCACCCCGAGAGGTGAGCGAGGCAGGCCGGAGGCCCGGTCGGGGCGCCGCTCCTCTCTCCGGCCGCGCACGGACCGCCCCCCGTCGGCCGGGCTCGGTCGCGGGCAACTTTCGTTTCGTGGGCGGCGGTCCCGCTGCTCCGCAAGCTGGCGGCTGTTGGGGGCCCCTTCGACGCGCCGCGATCGCGCCCCGCCCCGGGCCGCGCCCCCGGGCCGAGTCCCTGGGAGGGGGGCGTTGATTGACGGCGGCGGCGGCGGCGCGCAGAGGGGAGAGGGTCGGCGCTGGGCTCCCGGATCCCGGCCGGTCCCGGCTGCCGTCGTCGGAGGAGGCGAGTCCGTGTCCCGGGACTCGTGGCCAAGATGGGTGGCAACTTTTGAGAAGCGCCTCTGTGGGTGGCGCGCTGTGTGGAGTGTGGAGCTTCGCGCTCCGTGGCCACAATTACTGTCAAGCGGGAAACCAACTGCTTACCCCCTCCCCTAAAATGTTTTTAAAATTCAGTTTAACGCAGATTTTGAGGGAGAGGACGGGGTGGATTACAGGTTAAAGAAGCACTTGGCATGCAATGAGGATGCTTATTTTATAGTATTGCGAAGGATTCGGAGATTGTACTGGTTTCTACAAGCAGTTTTCTCTGGTAACCCAAATTGCATCCCTCCTTTTTGTTTTTCAGCACTAATCGCTATTTTCTTTGGAAACTTCCTTTGATTCTTTACCTCCTTCACCTTCCCCGAAGAGCCTGCTAACCAACACCTGTGGCCTTCTGTTTTTAACTGTTGTTGCCATTGACAGCGTTGTGAATGGTCATCTCGCTCGAGCTCTTTGGATTTGTTGTTACTGTGTAAGCTGATGTGTTTTAGATAATCTGCTTCAATTTGAGTTCCCATACTTACCTGTTTTCCAGGTGGATTGTCTCATTGTTAGTGCTGAATCTTCTTGCCTACTTGTATCTGGGAATTTAACTTTGAAGAGGAAGAGAGTGAATATGAATAACTGAAAAATAAAATGGTGTGTAGTAGCACTTTGTATTTTTTACAATATACTAGAATTTACTACTCTAGAACAGATTAGTAGGCTGTAGGAGTGGACGTGGGCCATTGATCAAAAGGGTTTAAAGGCTTTTTTGGGGAATTGCTGTTAAGACATTTATCACAGTCTTTATTTAATTTATTTATTGTTTTTGAGACAGGATCTCACTCTGTCACCCAGGCTGGAGTGCAGTGGCACAGTTCTCGGCTCACTGCAGCCTTCGCCTCCTGGGTTCAAGCGATCCTTTTGCCTCACCCTCCTGACTAGCTGGGACTACCGGCAGACACCACCACGGCTAATTTTTTAATTTTTTGTAGAGCCTTGCTCTGTTGCCCAGGCTGGTCTCCGACTCCAGGGCTCAAGCGATCTTCCTTCCTTGGCCTCCCAAAGTGCTGCAATTACAGGCATGAGCCAACATGCCTGGCCATCACAGTGTTTAGAATGTGATGACTTTTAGAGTAAAATTTAGAATAAAAATTGCTTAATATCTTTAGATCTGTGATCTACTCCAGGTGTTTTGCTTTAAACAAAATACATGAACAGCTGCTAATGAGAAGACAGACCTTTCTAGGTGGAGGTGACTTGCCCATGGTACTGTAATGAGGAGGGAAAGGACCGGGTTTGTGTGCGTGTGAGAGCGCATGAGTGTGCGACCTAATCGCTAGAGGTTTGTTCTTTTGGGAGGAGGGAGGGTATGTTAATGGTTGGAAGTTATTTCAGGTCACTTCTCAGTCGATGAACGAGATGCTGAACGAAATGATCAAAAAAGATGATGCAATTGCCAGGCATGGTGGCTCACCGTGTAATCCCAGCGCTTTGGGAGGTTGAGGAAGGAGGATGGCTTGAGCCCAGGTGTTTGAGACCAGCAAAACCCTGTCTCAGAAAAATATAAAGTAACATATATAAAGTCTGTGATAACTGTCACAACGTAGTGAGACCTTGTCTTGATCACTTTATAAAAACGGTGACGAAAGACAGATTTTCTTGTGAGACTGAAGATTTTCTCTGAAAGTCAATCATTAGGTAATTTCCATAGTGTCTTGATAGTGGTGATGCAGCCCAAGCGGCTCCTCTTGAATGCCTGTTCAATTTGTAGGTATTTTCAGGTTGCTTAAATGTTGTTGGCAAAGTAAAACTACAATTATTGGGAAATTTCAAACTTTTGAGCAGACATAAGGTTGGTTTATAGAACTTGGTCCTAACTACAAATGTGTAAAGGCGTTGTAGGAATTTGCCCACTGTACATGTAGTTTAAAAGTATGCATTTTATGCCAGGCGCGGTGACTCACGCCTGTAATCCCAGCACTTTCGGAGGCCGAGATGGGTGGATCACCTGAGGTCAGGAGTTCGAGGCAAGCCTGGCCAATATGATGAAACCCTGTCTCTACTAAAAATACAAAATTAGCCAGGTGTGGTGGCGCATGCCTGTAATCCCAGCTATTCAGTAGGCTGAGGTGGGAGAATGGCTTGAACCTGGGAGGCAGAGATTGCAGTGAGCCAGGATCACGCCACTGCACTTCACCCTGGGCAACGAGTGAAACTCCGTCTCAAAAAAAAAAAAAAAAAGTATGCATTTTGGTGAATGCTTAGACATTCCAGTACCTATATTTGCCTTCTTATATTCTTTAAATGATAAACCTTTTTCATAGTGCAACAGAAAAGGATAATATATGTAAGACATATTGGAATAAATGGTTAAGGCAGCTCACAGCTGTATTCTTTGGGCCGTTAGGGGTGAGGGATCAGTATGTTCAGCACCTTTAGAACCCATTCCCATATGCAAGGTCCACTGGCTTGGGAAGCTCTGCTTGAAAGCATTTATTACTTTGGAAAAGTCCTAATAGGCTCAGCTAAAAATGTATGTTTTACTGGGAAAACCAAAGACTTGGATATGTAGATATCTTTATACCCATTACTCATACAGTCATTTTATAACAAAAGTGTGATTAATAAAACGCTGTGTATGTGAAATTAAGAATTGCTGAGACTGGGCGCGGTGGCTCATGCCTTTAATCCCAGCACTTTGGGAGGCCGAGGCGGGCGGATCACTTGAGGTTAGGAGTTCGAGACCAGCCTGACCAAGATGGAGAAACCCTGTCTCTACTAAAAATACAAAATTAGCCAGGCGCAGTGGCACATGCCTGTAATCCCAGCTACTCGGGAGACTGAGGCAGGAGAATCGCTTGAACCTGGGAGGCAGAGCCTGCAGTGAGCCGAGAGCACGCCATTGCACTCCAGCCTGGGCAAAAAGAGTGAAACTCCATCTCAAAAAAAAAAAAAAAATGCTGAGTAAACTGTAAACATATACTGTATGCATAGCTGGGGTACATTAGAGTATAATGGAATGTACTGTATTTTGGTACTTGAATAAGTAATTAGCGAGGTGGGGGGTTATTTGATCCAAGATGAGGACTCATTTAGGCTGTCTCCACTTCGCTCTTCTCTGTCCTTCACCTCTCCTTCATCCATTTATATTTTCTTGGTAACTTCAGTTACACGTTAAGGTATGTACTGGCCATAGTGTTTTAACACTGAGAATTCAAAGACAAATAATACTCCGATTTTGCCTTCTCATAGTGTATAGGCTTCATAGGTGCACAGAGTGCTGTGGGAGAACACAATAGAGAATGATTAAACTTGTGGAGGGTGTGGGGGCAGTTTACGGAAAATAACACTGAATAGGAATTTGCCAAACTGGGGAGAGGGAGTCATGTCAAACAGAAGGAAGTGTGGGTGCACTGAGGTGTCAAGTGTTAGGGTAAGGCTAGTGATAAGGTGTTACTGGAACAGTGGGAATGACTCGAGATGAGCCTGCAAAGGTGTGTCTGGTCTAGATTTTGAAGGACCAGCCTTGCTAAGCTAAAAGGGAAGTGTATAGCCTTATCTGACAGCAGAAGAGAGAGCCAAAATATTGTTAGCAGAGGAGCAAGGCGATTTGGAGGTCACTTTGGCATCCCTGTGGAGAATAGAGTGGAGGCCCTACAAGTGTATATTTGAGATAGTATGGAGTTAGTGACTTTGAATCTGTTTTCTTCTTTTTTTCTGAGATGAAGGCTCACTTGGAGTGCGGTGGCGCGATCTCGGCCCACTGCAACCTCCGCCTCCTGGGTTCCAGCCATTCTCCTGCTTCAGCCTCCCGAGTAGCTGGGATTACGGGCTCCTGCCACCACGCCGACTAATTTTTTTGTATTTTTAGTAGAGGCAGGGTTTCACCATGTTGGCCAGGCTGGCTTTAAACTCCTGACCTCAAGTGATCTGCCCACCTTGGCCTCCCAAAGTGCTGGGATTACAGGCGTGAGCCACCATGCCTGGCCTGGATCTATTTTTAACTTGGATATGGTGTCTTCTGAGTCTGTGGTCCCTTAAGGGACTTTAGGGCTATGCCCAGTTGCTCTATAATACAGGGTCATTTAAAATCAAAGTGTCAGTATGTTTTGGAAGAAGTTAAAAGCAGTCAAAACAATGAAAGTTATAAAATGTTACTCATGAAAGTTCAGGTGTTGAGAATACTTGTCTTCTGAGTTAGGCTTAGGCAGGCTATAGACCTTAAGCTGGAAAATTCAACCCTATGTCCACTTGAAATCAAAGCCACCAAGCTTAAAAAGTTACCAGTATCCTGATGGTTTGCTAGGATATGGGTTGTAAACATTTTGTGAAATTTTGGGGGGAAGGCAGTTTTCTCTCTAGTAAATTATTGGAATTGGAATAGTGAGACTAGCTTAAGGTCTAAGAAGTTCTCATACAACTGTTAATTTATACAGTCAGTTCTGCTGTAAAGCAACATACAGGTTCCTAAAAATCACTGCTTTGCAGAATCGTGCAGTAGAAATGACTTACAAATGGGGTTGGGGTACAGCACTCTAAAGCTTTATCAGTGACACATTTAAAAAAGGAACCTGGTAAAAATGATAGAACAGTTTTACACGTTGAATGGTTAAGAAATATATAGATACTGTAATAAATGTGGCATTTTCTTTGAAAAAGCCCTGGTTTGCTTGTGGAAAGGGATGTCAGAAAGGTTGCTGCTGGTGAGTTACTGTGAAGTGGTAGAAGAATTACTTATAATCAGATGGAAGGTTGTAACACGAGAAGCAAATAGGTGTGGCTCTTAACCCATAATAAACTGACTTAGCTGGTGGGTGTTTGAAGTGTGTTTCATGTATTTCTACACAGTTCAGTTCGGCTGGGTGCAAGCTTTCTCCCTTCATCTAGTGTTTATGTGACAGAATAGCACATAAATAAACAGGAAATATGGATTGTGCTCAAATTGTTCTCTAATTTGTGTATCAATCACAGTGGAACAAATTCACCTTTTCTTTTCTTTTTTTTTCCCCCCTTTTTCTTTCTTTTGCTTTTCCTTTTCCTTTTCTTTCTTGACAGGGTCTCACTCTGTGTCACCCAGGCTGGAGTGATGATGACTTGCTGCAGCCTTGACCTCCCAGGTTCACCCGAGCCTCCTGAGTACCTGGTATCACAGGTGTGTGCCACCACACCTGGCTGATTTTTCTTATTTTTAGTAGAGATGAGGTCTCTCTACGTTGCCCGGTTTGGTCTCACACTCCTGGGCTCAAGCAGTCCTCCTGCCTCGGCCTCCCAAAGTGCTAGGTTTATAGGTGTGAGCCACTGCACCTGGCCAAATTCACGTTTTCTTTTTCTTTTCTTTTCTTTTTTTTTTTTTTGAGATGGAGTCTCACTCTGTTGCCCAGGCTAGAGTGCAGTGGCGCTATCTAGGCTCACTGCAGGCTCCGCCTCCCGGGTTCACGCCATTCTCCTTCAGCCTCCTGAGTAGCTGGGACTACAGGCACCTGCCATCATGCCTGGCTAATTCAAATGCACGTTTTCAAAACAAGTTTTATAGTTGATTATACTTGTTTAATACTAGTTTTAAATAGTACTATAACTCAGTTTCAAAAATACTTGTTGAACAATCTATGTGTCAGGTAACATGCTACCTTTGTGGGGCTTAGAGTCTTTTGTCCCAAGTAGGTTTATAGTGTTGTGGAGAAGGACAAATGAACCAATAGAGTACTCATCGGGTTATACAGTAATTAAGAAAGCACAAAGCATTTTGGGCATGCTAAGGAAGGAGAAAGTCATTCTGCTTGGAAAACCCAGGGAGTCATCTCAGAGGTCTTTAAGCTGGATTTTAAAGGATGGATAGGGATTTGTTAGGTTGAGTAGGACAGGGAGAAGGAACAGCATATTGGGAACAACATGGGCTGTGGAGCATAAGACACAGGGATGAGAGGGACAGGAAGAGTGGTCAGAAACAGCTTGTGAATAGTTGTAGGGTTTTTCTTAAAGTGTTGAGATTTCCTGTATATGATAGAAATCCAGTGAGAGTTTAGGTGGATATGGGTGAGCAAGTGGTTCATGTAACATACTTTTTCAGGAGGCACATAATGAAAATGTAGAAGCTGGATTAAAGGAGTTAGAGTTCATTTACGTCCTGTGAGAGCTCAAGTACATCAGCATAGGGGATAGAAAAGCACAGGATACCAGAATTAGGGACAGACTAGCCATGAGCTATAAAAATAGGAAAGAGTTGAGTATGATTCAGAACTTGTTTAGCTTAGAGAACTGTTGGTATGATTTAACTTGGGAAACAGAAGAACAGATTTGGACGAGGAAAGTAGAATAGTTTGATTTTTGATCCTGTTAAGTTTGACATACCTCCTGGATACTTAGGTGGATATGTCTAACAGATATCTGGACCAGAGAGCGGTTTGGGGTTTGATAGATTTGGTCATTGTATAGTTGGCATTGGAAGTTAGGGGATTACTCAGGAAGAGTGTGTGAACAAATGTTTTTCACCCTTTTGACAGAGGTAAGATCTCCATTTGAGAATCAGTTAAGAATTATGGACTCTGCTGAAGGGAATGAAAGTATGCATATATGCAAGTGTGAAACTTATGGACCACAAGAGGAGAGGACTAAGGGAACCCTAAGGAACAGCTAATATTTTGTTTTGGACAGCATTGAAATGGTTGAAGAGACAAGGGCAGAACAGGAGAGAGTAACGCTACAGATGCCGAGAGAGGTCATAGTGCCAAGAAAGAAGGAGTTTTCAGTAGTCATCATTGTGCCCAGGTTTAGGGTGGGATGAGATCTGGAAATGGGTTGATAGGATTTGACAGGTGGGGGAATGAATGCAGGGAAAATTTTTATGGGACCAGGGCATATATAAGTCAGATAGTAGATTGGGCGGAGGAGCAAATGGGAGGTTAAGATGAAGAAGGTTATAGACTACTATTTGCAAAAATTTAAACTAGAAGAGAAGGAAAGAAGGGTAATAGTTTAAAGAGGAGACAGGGTCGAGAGAAGGTAGGCACCTGTGTTAGTCACCAGCTTTGTTTCCTTAAGTCCAAAACTTTGGAAATAAATTTATAATGTATATTGCGTGTATGTTTCCAAACGTTCCCCTGATCTATTGGTTGAAATTATTGCATTTTTATTTGGTGATACAAAATTGTTTTGCCTGCGGAATTTTATGTGATTTCAAAAACAATAAAAAAAACTCTTTCTCATTAGCGATAGAGATTATCTGATGTAAAATCATAATATTACAATTTTCAGCCTTCAGTTACTAGAAGAAGAAGATTTGTCCTCATTAGCGGTAGAGATTATCTGATGTAAACTCATAATATTACAATTTTCAGCCTTCAGTTACTAGAAGGATAAGATTTGCTTTCATATGCCATATACTAGGTTTGCACTTATGTTGTGCTCCATTGCCCAAACTTTGGTTAAATATTTGATGCGGTTTTAAGTGTAAAATAGTAGCAAAGAGGAAATCATTAGACATGGTCATTTTCTTTCCAAGTTATTGCTACAAACACATAGAGACTTAATAAATTAGCCAGTGGCTCTGTGTATCCAAATACAGAGTATTACAGGTGATTAGGTGCATTGAGTGGTTGTATATAGTTTTACTAGGCAGATTTTGATTATACGGAGATAGATGTGTTAGTAATCTCTCCTAATTAAAAACCAAACAGAGATGAAGATATGACTTGACTAAGTTAAATCAAAAATTGTATTGCACTCAGCCTTTTGGGAGGCAAATATTTTTCTTCTGTAAGGTTATGTATTGTTGTTAAGTAAACACTTCAGCATCATAAAACAATATTTGATGAAGCTAACTGCCATGTTTTAGACCAGTAGTTTCCTTTGTTAATCTAAAATTATGACAATGATAACTATAGTTTATAGACTAAAGAATTGTCATTTGGTTTTTAGTTTTATGGAAACTATAGAAACTCAAAGATTTAGGGGTTCATAGCCACTGAAGAAAAAAAATGATATTGAATGCCGGTGGTGCAGTGGGCTCTGCTGCTTTACATGTGTCTCATTTAATCCTCACACCAAAATTGTGACATAGATACCACCAATTTATAAGTGAGGAAATTTAGGCATTAAAGATGATTGTAAACCCATCATTTCAAGCCAGGACTTGATGCAGGTCTGACTCTAGTTTGTATTTTTCTTTTTTTTTTTTTTTTTGAGATGGAGTTTTCACTCTTGTAGCCCAGGCTGGAATGCAGTGGAGCAATCTCGGCTCACTGCAACCTCTGCCTCCTGGGTTCAAGCGATTCTCCAGCCTCAGCTTCCCGAGCAGCTGGGATTAGAGGTACGCGCCACCATGCCTGGCTAATTTTTTGCATTTTTGGTAGAGACGGGGTTTTGCCATGTTGGCCAGGCTGGTCTCGAACTCCTGACCTGAAGTGATGTGCCTGCTTCGGCACCCCAAAGTGCTGGGATTATAGGTGTGAGCCACTGCCCCCGGCCCCAGTTTGTATTCTTACTGACACTGTGCCCTACTTCCTTTTTTTTTTTTTTTTTTTTTTTTGAGAGAGTCTCAATCTGTCATCCAGGCTGGAGTGCAGGGGCGCCATCTTGGCTTACTGTGACCTCTGCATCCCGGGTTCAAGCGATTCCCTTGCCTCAGCCTCCCGAGTAGCTGGGACTACAGGCGTGCGCCACCACACCCGGCTAATTTTTTGTATTTTAGTAGAGACAGGGTTTCACCATGTTGGTCAGGATGGTCTCGATCTCCTGGACCTTGTGATCTGCCTGCCTTAGCCTCCCAAAGTGCTGGGATTACAGGCGTGAGCCACTGCGCCTGGCCCCTTTTTCTTCTTAACACACTCTCATGGTATTATGACTTGGAATGGTCTTTTGAGGTTAATTTGATAATATAGGAAAACCCAATTGTTGGCCCAAATTTATAACCGTTTACACTAGTAGTTGATCATGTTGACATAATAGTACTAAGTGGCAGAATCTTTGTTAATATTTGTGATTCTCTTTTTGGTTATGGATCAAAAACCTCCCAAGAGTCCACATAAGAGTACTTTTCATGCTAGTCAAAAATTCAGTTCTAAAGCATTTCATTATTTTGGAAAAGGCAGTCTGTTATACATCTGTAGTCAAAAAGCAGTGTATAGCTTTCAAATTTTCTGAAACATTATCAGTGGCCTTAGAGTAAGATTCTGGTGTTGTTAAAGGCTTCTTGATGCTTTGTAAGGTCAACATTTTATGAATAATTTTCTTTTGTAGTTTTAAGGGGAAAAGACTAGTGGATCAAAACTGATTGCTCATACATTACAACTTCCCAAGTCATTGTGTATCTGAATTGGCAGCCTAGAGTAAATATTGAATGGCTCAAAAGACCAAGATTCCCACTAGATAGTAGTACTTAGAATATTATGGTTCATTCCAAGAGCGGGGGCAGTAAATAGATTTTGGAAAGTCTGGCAAAAGGT
Source organism: Homo sapiens (assembly GCF_000001405.40). Lineage (NCBI taxonomy): Eukaryota > Metazoa > Chordata > Mammalia > Primates > Hominidae > Homo > Homo sapiens. The sequence goes on from NC_000005.10 coordinate 180,504,542, forward strand.
AAGAAAACTGCAAAGATTCATGTTGGCATAAATATTAAGGTGCTGAAGTGATAAACTAAATGGTGGTTGCTTGTCTCATGGTAAGAGAACAGATTTAGGATTGATGACTTCCCCACTGCTTACCTTTTTAATCTTGGTGAGATTTTACTACACAAATCATGGTTTTGACTTAATACCTTACATTAGTGGGCAGACTTTAAAGAGATTTGCGGAACTGAGACAGTGTCACTCTTCTCACTAAATTTTACTTTGTTTTTTAAAATAGTTTTCATTAAAATGTCATTTAACATGTGATAGGTTTATTACTGTTAAAGAGTTCATAAATATTTTTTAAAGTTCTCAGTTCTAATTTGATTCTTACTGATAATTGATAGCTATAACCCACATCAATGAAAGTTCTGAGGTACTAGTTAATTTTTTTTTTTTTTTTTTTTTTGAGACGAAGTCTTGCTCTGTCCCCAGGCTGGAGTGCAGTGGCGCGATCTTGACTCGCTGCAAGCTCTGCCTCCCAGGTTCACGCCATTCTCCTGCCTCAGCCTCCCAAGTAGCTGGGACTACAGGCCTCTGCCACCACACCCAGCTAATTTTTTTTGTATTTTTAGTAGAGACGGGGTTTCACCGTGTTAGCCATCCTGGTCTCCATCTCCTGACCTCGTGATCCACCCACCTCTGCCTCCTAAAGTACTGGGATTACAGGCGGTAATAGTTAATTTTTTTTTTTTTTTTTTTTTTGAGACGGAGTCTGGCTCTGTCGCCCAGTCTGGACTGCAGTGGCGCGATCTCGGCTCACTGCAAGCTCCACCTCCCAGGTTCACGCCATTCTCCTGCCTCAGCCTCCCGAGTAGCTGGGACTACAGGCCTCCGCCACCACACCCAGCTAATTTTTTTTGTATTTTTAGTAGAGACGGGGTTTCACTGTGTAGCCATCCTGGTCTCGATCTCCTGACCTCGTGATCCGCCCACCTCGGCCTCCCAAAGTACTGGGATTACAGGTGGTACTAGTTAATTTTTTTTTTTTTTTTTTGAGACGGAGTCTGGCTCTGTCGCCCAGTCTGGACTGCAGTGGCGCGATCTCGGCTCACTGCAAGCTCCGCCTCCCAGGTTTACGCCATTCTCCTGCCTCAGCCTCCCGCGTAGCTGGGACTACAGGCACCCACCACCACGCCCGGCTAATTTTTTGTATTTTTTAGTAGAGACGGGGTTTCACTGTGTTAGCCAGGATAGTGTTGATCTCCTGACCTTGTGATCCGCCTGCCTTGGCCTCCCAAAGTGCTGGGATTACAGGCTTGAGCCACTGAGCCCAGCCAAGTACTAGTTAATTTTTAAGACTGCAAAAGGGTCCCGAGACGGTAGTGTTTTGAGATCTGCTGTCTTAGTGTATTGTGGAGGGTTTGGGACTGTAAAGTATAGGTGAGGAGGTTAATTTGGGAAAGATGATGCATCTGAGACATAAATGAGGGGCTCATGATCCCAGCAACATATTATTTGGATAATGAACAGAAGATCTTGGTCTTGCAAGTGATAGAATTCTTGAGAATGAGGCTGTGGTAGAATAGAAAGACTAGCTTTGGAGTCAGATTGTCCCTGGTTCAAATCCCAGCTCTACAATTCAGTTACTAAGTGTGCAATCTTGGGTAAATTGCATAAACTGTGGGTCTCAGTTTCGTCTTCTATAAGATAAAGGTAGAATCTACCTCATGGGTTGCTGTGAGAATTAAATCAAGGTCATACAGGTAAATTATTGCATAGTAGTTGAAAGCACAAACTCGAATCAGACTTGGGTTAAAATAACAGTTGTGTCATTTAGTATCCCTGTGACCTCAGGAACGTTATTCTCCGGACCTTCTTTCTTTATGTAAAGATTATAATAGTGTCTGCTCACAAGAGTTCTGAGGGTTAAATGAGATAATGCATGTAAAGTGCTGGATAGACCTGGCAGGTAATGAGTGCTCACAGAATAGTTGGCTACTATATGCCTAGTGCAGTGCATGGCAGATAGGTGCCCAACACACTTTTGCCATTACACCTATCTATTTGATGTTTGCTCTTATTTTGCCGTAGCGTGTCACTAAGATAGATTTTTTATAGTTTAAGTTTGTCCCCTTGCTTCTTACCTCAGGCTATCCCAGAACCAGTATTTTTAGTTCTCTTGGATATTAAAGTCCTTTCTATTTTCTCTAGATTTTGCCTTTTAGGTAATAGTTTTTCTTATTCCTAGTAAGATAGGCACTGCTTTTAAGGCTTCTTTTGCACTCTTAGAAAATGTTTGCTTTTATACTATCCTGGCTTCTCCCTTTAAATTCATATAAGCATTACCTGAATATTTGCCAAGCTCTGGAGTTATAAAAATATTTAAGATATGTAAATGGAAGAAGCCTGTGTTACAGAATGTGAGATAAAAAAATACTAAGGCAGGTTTAATGAATACAACAGTAGACATGTTTTCGAGGTTTAGCATAGCTCAGAGCTGGAAACAGTAAACTTCTGTGTTTGGGAGGGATATGGAGGAAGGTTGTAATGCATGTTTTAAAGTTGAATGTCTGAGTTGGCATTTGAAGGATGACTAGGGGCCTTTTGGTGTCTGGGGCGTTTCAGGCAGAAGACATGGCATTGCTAAGGCATGAAGGTTTGTGAGGGGTAAGTGGGAATTAGGGAGATCCAAGATGATACTAAGGAGGTATACAGAGATCAAGTCAAACTCAACTTACTTGTTTTGTAAATGAGCCTGGGTTTCCTGTTTCCAAGGGTATTGAGATGAACAAGATATAGTTTTAGGGGCCCGGTGTGGTGGCTCACGCCTGTAATCCCAACACATTGGGAGGCCCAGGCGGGCAGATCACCTAAGGTCAGGAGTTCGAGACTAGCCTGGCCAACCTGGTGAAACCCCGTCTCTACTAAAAATACAAAAAAATTAGCCAGGCGTGGTGGTGGGTGCCTGTAATCCCAGCTACTCTGGAGGCTGAGTTAGGAGAATCACTTGAACTCGGGAGGCAGAGGTTGCAGTGAACCGTGGTCACGCCATTGCACTCCAGCCTGGGGGACAAGAGCGAGACTCCGTTTTAAAAACAAAAAAAGATACAGTTTTAGGAACATGATGTACTTGTATTTCTAGGACTGTCACTTTGGACGGTATATTTAGTACATTCTTGCACTGCTATAAAGAAATGTGTGAGATTAGGTAATTTATGAAGAAAAGGGGTTTAATTGGCTCTTGGTTCCACAGGCTGTGCAGGAAACGTGGCTGGGGAGGCCTCAGGAAACTTAAAACCATGGAGGAAGGTGAAGGGGAAGCAGGTAGTCTTCACGTGGCCAGAGCTGGAAGAAGTTGGGGTGGAGATGCTACACACTTTTAAACAACCAGATCTTGCGATAACTCACTTTCTGAGACAGCACCGAAGGGGAAAAGCCACCCCTGTAATCCAGTCACCTCCCACTAGGCCCCACCTCCAGCACTGGGGATACAATTTGACATGACATTTGGGTGGGAACACAGACCCAGACCATATCAGACCGTATCTAGGATGGATTAGAGATGGGGAGAGTGGTGGAGGAAAGACTATGGGTGTGAGACTGTTGGAATAGCTCAGGTAAGAGCTGAGGGAATTAAGGCAGAGTGGGTGAGAGATTTAGGAAGTAAAATGGGCTAGAGTTGGAGACTGGATATGAAGACTGTGACTAGGTAAGGAAGGGTCAAGGATATGCTCATATTTTTGGTTTGGAAATCTGGGTGTAAGCATAGGAGAAAGGGCAGGATTGAAGACCAAGATGATAATTTGTTTTTTTAGTATGAGACGGAGTCTCGCTCTCTCACCCAGGCTGGAGTGCAGTGACGCAATCTTGGCTCACTGCAACTTCTGCTACCTGGGCTCAAGCGATTCACCTGCCTCAGCCTCCTGGGTGGCTGGGACTACAGGCGCACGCCACCATGCCCAGCTAATTTTTGTATTTTTATTAGAGACGGGGTTTCACCGTGTTGGCCAGGATGGTCTCGATCTCCTGACCTTGTAATCCACCTGCCTCAGCCTCCCAAAGTGCTGGGATTACAGGTGTGAGCTACCACGCCCAGCCTAGTAAAGTTTTTTATTTTATGTTTTTATTTTTTCAAGGCAAGGTCTCACGGTCACCCAGGCTAGAGCACAGGTGCCATCATGGCTCACTGCAACCTCAATCTCTAGAGCTCAAGCAATCCTTCCACCTCATTCTCCCAGGTAGCTGGGACTGCAGGTGTGTGCCAACATGCCCAGCTAATGTATCTTATTTTAATTAATTAATTAATTTTATTATTATTATTATTTTTTTTTGAGAGGGAGTCTCACTCTCGCCCAGGCTGGAGTGCAGTGGCGTGATCCTGGCTCGCTGCAACTCTCACCTCCCGGGTTCAAGCAGTTCTCCTGCCTCAGCCTCCCGAGTAGCTGAGACTATAGGCAAGTACCACCATGCTCAGCTAATTTTTGTATTTTTAGTAGAGACAGGTTTCACCATATTGATCAGGCTGGTCTCAAACTCCTGACCTCGTGATCCACCTGCATTGGCCTCCCAAAGTACTGTGATTACAGGTGTGAGCCACAGCGCCCGGCCTATTTTATTTTATTTTTATTTTTTTATTTTGAGACAAGGTCTGGTTCTGTCACCCAGACTGGAATGCAGTGGTGCGATCTTGGCTCACTGCAACCTCCGCCTCCTGGGCTCAAGCCGTCCTCCCGCCTCAGGCTCCCAAGTAGCTGGAACTACAGGGGCATGCCACCACACTTGGTTAATTTTGGTATTTTTTTTTCTACAGACCAGGTTTTGCCATGTTACTGGTCTTGAACTCCTGGGCTCAAATGATCTGCCAGCCTTGGCTTCCCAAAGTGCTGGGATTACAGTTGTGAGCCACTACACCCGGCCCTGATTTTTTTTGTTTTTGCTTTTGTCTTTTTGAGATGGAGTTTTGCTCTTGTTGCCCAGGCTAGAGTGCAATGGCGGATTCTCGTCTCATTGCAACCTCTGCCTCCGGGTTCAAGTAGTTGAGATTACAGGCATGCGCCACCACACCTGGCTAATTTTTTTTTTTTTTTTGTATTTAGTAGAGATGGGGTTTCTTCATGTTGGTGTAACTCCTGACCTCAGGTGATCCACTTGCCTCGGCCTCCCAAGGTGCCGGGATTACAGGCGTGAGCCACCACACCCAGCCTAATTTTTTATTTTTACGTAGAGACAGGATCTCCCTATGCTGCCCAGTCTGGAACTCCTGGGCTGAAGTGATCCTCCTACCGTGGCCTAGTAAGACCTTTTTGATACCTTGGTGTTTTTTTTTTTTTTTTTTCACTAGCTACTCTTTGTTAAATTCCTCCTATGCAATTCATATGGTTTGCTTTGGGAGATTATCACGGGGTTCTGATACCAAGATACCTGCCATAGTATCATCAGCAATTTATAGTAGTCTCAAAATGTGTAGTTATGATTTAAGTTTTGCCTGTTAGTCAAGAGTAGTTATCTTTTGCAGAAGCTTTTTGTTGTTGCTGTTTTTTGTTTGATTTCCTACAAGGAAAGACTAATGATAGACATTTGCCACTAAGGACAGCTCCTAAATGAGGTTTATCGTCTGTAAACCTTTTTTTTTTTTTTTTTTTTTTTTTTTTTTTTTTTAAGAGATGGTGTTTTTCTGTGTTGCCCAGGCTGGAGTGCAGTGGCTATTCACAGGTGCAATGATAGCACGCTATAGCCTCAAACTCCTGGGCTCAGCCTATCCTCCTACCTCAGCCTTCCGAGTAGCCAGGACTTCTATCCGTAAACTTTTAACTGGCCAATATGTGAAGGAAACCTGACTAGAAAGAGAAACAAACAAATGTGATGACATTGGGAGGCAGCAGATTTTGGGTTTGAAGTGAGAGTAGAAGTGCCTTAACTGAATTGAGGCTGCGAGAAAGGCTTGTGACTATCGTCTAATGGAACTAAGTGGGTTTGTTTATACTAGAGGCACAGGCACATATTTTTAATTTGTAGAATTCAAATCATACACTTGGCAAAACAGCAGGCGAATATATTAAAGAATGTGGTAGGCCTGCCATCTCAGTCATAATTGTAATTTGAAATTCCAGAGTATGTGTATTTAAAAATAGCATTTATTAAATTATTGTCTTTATATGACATTTAAATGTTCATTATCTAAAAGTTTTAATATACCTATAAATGAATTGTCATTTAGATTGTATTCAAAGAGGGACTGATTTTTGGGTGAGTGTCTTTTGGGGCTTTTTGTTTTGTAATAATGGAAAATAGCACAGTTACTTTTTTTTTTGCGACAGAGTCTCGCTCTCGTCACCCAGGCTGGAATGCAGTGGTGCCATCTCAGCTTACTGCAATCTCCATCTCCCGGGTTCAAGCTATTCTCTTGCCTCAGCCTTCTGAGTAGCTGGGACTACAGGCACCTGCCACCATTCCCGGCTAATTTTTATACTTTTAGTAGAGATGGGGTTTTGCCATGTTGGCCAGGCTAGTCTCGAACTCCTGACCTCAGGTAATCTGCCTGCCTCGGCCTCCCAAAGTGTTGGGATTACAGGTGTGAGCCACCGTGTCCAGACAGGCAGGTTTTTTTTGGCATATGTTTGTAATTTGATTTCCTTTCTTTGGATAATTCCTTTTCCATTTTTAAATATAATTAAATTTTTTGGAGGGCAGGCACAGTGGCTCGCGCCTGTAATCCCACCACTTTGGGAGGCCAGGGTGGGGAAATCGCTTGAATCCAGGAGTTGGAGACCAGCCTGGGCAACATGGTGAAACCTTGTCTCTACAAAATACAAAAAAAAGGCCAGGGGCGGTGGCTCACGCCTGTAATCCCAGCACTTTGGGAGGCTGAGGCGGGTGGATCACGAGGTCAGGAGATCGAGACCATCCTGGCTAACACAGTGAAACCCCATCTCTACTAAAAATATAAAATATTAGCCGGGTGTGGTGGCATGCACCTGTAGTTCCAGCTACTCGGGAGGCTGAGACAGGAGAATCACTTGAACCCGGGAGGCAGAGGTTGCAGTGAGCCGAGATCACACCACTGCATTCCAGGCTGAGTGACAGAGCAAGACTTTGTCTCAAAAAAAAAGCTGGGTGTGGTGGCCTGCACCTGTAGTTCAGCTACTTGGGAGGCTGAGATGGGAGGACCGCTTGAGCCTGGGGAGGTTGAGGCTGCAGTGAGCCATGATTGTGCTACTACACTCCAGCCTGGGCAACAGAGTGAGACCCTGTATCTGAAAAAAAAAATAATTTTAAAAATAAAAAATTTTTTTGAGCGACAGGTTCTCTCTCTGTTGCCCAGGCTGGCCTTGAACTCCTGGGCTCAAGCAATCCTCCCACCTCAGCCTGCTGAGTAACTAGGATTACCGGCATATGCCACTGCTCCTGGCTCCATTTTTAACATATCACTGTTTTCCTTCTTCCCTTTCCATCAAAAGCATGGCTTGGAACTCATTTCTCTTAATCTGTTTTGAAATTTGTAGTTTCATTCAGCTGTCTTCTCTTGTAATGTGTGAAAATTATGAACTGCAATAAAGACAGGATCTTTGGAAAGATGAGTTGTATTGTATTTTAGTCTACTTGTGAAAGCTGTGGATTTCAGAATGGTCTTTGAAGAATACTCAGCAAAACTTCATTATTGTTTTGTTTAGTCTTGCTTTGTGTAAGGCATTCATGGTTCTGGTTTTGTGAGAAAACAGCTTGTGAGCAGACCCACTGTGGAGGCTAGGTGGGAAGGAGGTGGGTAACATTTAACTTAACCTTGAATTATAGATAGAATTTCAGTGTGAAAATGGTATCACTAAATGCTTGGAGATAGGGAAGAGTGGAGCGTATCTGAAGGATGGCAGTTTGTCTGCCAGTTGCATCAAAAGATATAGAAGGAAATATTGGGACAGAAGTCTGGAAAGGTGGAATATTTTGAATTCTCAACTGCGGAGTTTGAATTCTTCTCAGCAGTAGAGATCTTAAAGGGGAAGAGAAGGGATGATATAGAATCATCATTTTAAGTGGGTATAGGACCAGAAATCATTACAGCTAAACATTCAAATTTTATTACTATTTTTATTCTTATTTATTTATTTTTGAGACAGAGTCTTGCTCTGTTGCCAGGCTGGAGCGCAGTGGCGCAATGTCTGCTCACTGCAGCCTCCACCTCCCAGGTTCAAGCAATTCTCCTGCCTCAGCCTCCCGAGTAGCTGGGATTACAGGCATGCACCACCATGCCCGGCTAATTTTTGTATTTTTTAGTAGAGACAGGGTTTCTCCATATTGGTCAGGCTAGTCTTGAACTCCTGACCTCAGGTGACCCGCCTGCCTTGGCCTCCCAAAGTGCTGGGATTACAGGCATAAGCCACTGCACCCAGCCATTTATTTATTTATTTAAGATGGAGTCTTGCTCTGTCGCCCAGGCTGGAGTGCAGTGGTGCGATCTCGGCTCACTGCAAGCTCCGCCTCCTGGGTTCACGCCATTCTTCTGTCTCAGCCTCCCGAGTAGCTGGGACTACAGGTGCCCGCCACCAATGCCCGGATAATTTTTTTGTGTTTTTAGTAGACACGGCATTTCACCTTGTTAGCCAGGATGGTCTGGAACTCCTGACCTCGTGATCCACCCGCCTTGGCCTCCCAAAATCCTGGGATTACAGGCTTGAGCCACTGCACCCGGCCATTTATTTATTTTTTGAGACAGGATCTCTGTCGCTCAGACTGGAGTGCAGTGGCACAATCAAGGCTCACTGCAGCCTCCACCTCCCAGTCTCCAGCGATTTTCCCTCTTCAGCCTCCTGAGTAGCTGGGACCATAGGCGTGTGCCACCACACCTGACTGATTTTTTTTATTTTTATTTTTTATTATTATTTTGAGACAGAGTCTTGCTCTGTCGCCCAGCCTGGAGTCTGGCACAATCTCACTCATTGCAACCTCCGCCTCCCAGGTTCAAGCGATTCTCCTGCCTCAGCTTCCCTACTCTTAGAGTAGCTGGGATACAGTCGCGTGCCACCAGGCCCAGCTAATTTTTGTATTTTTAGTAGAGACAGGGTTTCACCATATTGGCCAGGCTGGTCTTGAACTCCTGACCTCGTGATCTACCCGCCTCCGCCTCCCAAAGTGCTGGGATTACAGGTATGAGCTACCATGCCTGGCCCTTTTATTTATTTATTTATTTATTTATTTTTATTTATTTATTTATTTTTGAGATGGAGTCGTGCTCTGCTGCCCAGGGTGGAGTGCAGTGGCGCGATCTCAGCTCACTGCAAGCTCCGCCTCCTGGGTTCACGCCATTCTCCTGCCTCAGCCTCTCCGAGTAGCTGGGACTACAGGCGCCCGCCACCACGCCCGGCTAATTTTTTGTATTTTTGGTAGAGACGGGGTTTCACCGTGTTAGCCAGATGGTCTCGATCTCCTGACCTCATGATCTGCCCTCCTCGGCCTCCCAAAGTGCTGGGATTACAGGCGTGAGCCACCGGGCCCAGCCCATTTTTATTTTTTGTAGAGATAGGGGTTTCCCTATGTTGCCCAGGCTGGTTTCGAAATCAAATGGTCCTCCTGCCTCGGCCTCCAAATGTGCTGGGATTACAGGTTTGAGCCACACCATATGGCTGAAACTTCTCGATTTTATAGTCAGAAGTCAGCTTCACCGTAATCCCAGCACTTTGGGAGGCCGAGGCGGGTGGATCATGAGGTCAGGAGTTCGAGATCAGCCTGGCCAACATGGTGAAACCCCGTCTCTACTAAAAATACAAAAATCAGCCACATGTGTTGGGGGGCGCCTGTAATCCCATCTACTCGGGAGGCTGAGGCAGGAGAATTGCTTGAAGCTGGAAGGCAGAGGTTGCGGTGAGCCGAGATAGCGCCACTGCACTCCAGCCTAGGCGAAAGAGCGAAACTCCATCTTCTTCAAGTCTGCTTCACAAAGAGCTTGTTTTACTGAATTTTGCAGTGTAATTAGGACTTGGCTTTAGGAAGAATAATCTAAGTGGTATTTAGGTTAGTTGTAATCCTAAAAGCATAAGTACCAATTAGAAGAGGCCATTGTAATGGCTGAGGAAATGAGAATTAAAGTCCTAAATTAGAGTGGTGGTAGCAAAAATAAGAGAGTTGTAGTGTGAGTGCATGGTTTTGAGGTTTTTGTTTGCTTTCCAGTTGCTTAAGCTGTAAGATCATGCATTTCTTATTTATTCTTTATTCATCGTGCCTGGCAGAGTGCTTGTCACATTGAAGGTACTCAGTAAATATTTGTTGAATAAATGATTCTGTAAAGAAAACTTCCTTAAGAAAGCATGATTCCACTGTACTGAATTGCTTTTGGATTTTTTTTCTATGAAAACCTGATTTTGGTTGTGAAGAAAAAAATAGACCAGTTCATTAGCGTAATTTGCTAGGCATTACACAAGACATTGGGAGATACAAACTGTTTAGAGGTGATATATGCTGTGGTAAACGTATGGTGTGCATGCAGAGTGGGGAGTACTGAACTTGTTTCCGTGTTGAGGAGGGCTTACAGAGGCTGTAACATGTCGTCTGAGTTCCTGTGAAGAGAAAGTAGGAGTTTAGGATGAAGGTTGTCTTTGATAAAGAGATTAGCATGTATTGAAAGACTTATATTTTAGGCTGGATGCAGTGGCTCACGTCTGTAAACCCAGCACTTCGGGAGGTCGAGGCAGGAGGATCCCTTGAGGCCAGGAGTTCAAGACCAGCCTGGGCAACATAGTGATGCCTCCCATCTCTACAAAAAAAAAAAGAAAGAAAAAAACAGAAAATATTAGCTGGGTGTGGTGGTGCCTGAGCCCAGGAGCCTATGATTGCACCACTGCACTCTAGCTTAGGTGACAGCGAGACATTGTCTCAAAGTCTTAGAACTAGGTTTCCTCTAATTAGGACATTGTAGGGTAGCATGTGTCAAAGGGCTGGAGATAAGTGAGAAAATAGTTAGCTAAGTTGAGGTAGTAGAGGACTTTGAGGTTTGGACTTTAGGCAGGCAGGCAGGGCCATCTAAAGTTTTAATAGGAGAGTGGCATGAGCAGGTGCATATGAGGAAGGTAATCGATGGCAGTGTGGGGAGGATGTGTAATAGTTGAAGTTGAGAAATGAGGAGGGTCTGTATTAACTTCAGTGGAAGTAGATTGGCATGAAAGTTAGTGTCACTGCCTTTTCATATGCGCCCTAACTTACAGTAGCTCTAAGGAGCCTGATTACTAAAAAAAAAGGGGGTCTTTCTGCACGTGAGTTTATTTCTTCCTCCTTACCTCCCTTCCTTTCCTCTGTTGCTCTTTGTTTTCTCCTTTATGGTTGGGAAAAGAAGTAAAGCACAAAGAATGGAGAAGAAGAAAATGTGAAAAGCATAGTAAAAGGAGAGAGAGATGTCAAATTCAAGATTAAAAAAAAAAATTTTCTTTTTGAGATCAGGGTCTCACCGCGTTACCCAGGCTGGTGGAGTGCAGTGGCTTGATCTCATCTCACTGCAACTTCCACTTCCTGGTCTCAAGCCATTCTCCCACCTCAGCCTCTCAAGTAGCTGGGACTACAGGCACACACCACCACGCCTGGCTAATTTTTGTGTAGACAGGATCTTCCATGTTGCCCAGGTTGGTCTTGAACTCTTGGGCTCAAGTGATTGGCCTGCCCAGGCCTCCCAAAGAGCTGGGAAAATTCAGGATTTTTTTTTTTTTTTTTGAGACGGAGACTTGCTCAGTCACCAGGCTGGAGTGCAGTGGCGCCACCTTGGCTCACTGAAACCTCCGCCTCCCAGGTTCAATCGATTCTCCTGCCTCAGCCTCCGAGTAGCTGGGACTACAGGCACATGCCACCACACCCGGCTAATTTTTGTATTTTTAATAGAGATGGGGTTTCACCATGTGTTGGCCAGGATGGTCTCGATCTCCCAACCTTGTGATCCGCCTGCCTTGGCCTCCCAAAATGCTGGGATTACAGACGTGAGCCACCGCGCCCAGCTCCAAAGTGCTGGGAAAATTCAGGATATTATCTTGTCAGTTAAGATTGCCTGTAACTCAGTCTCATTTCCCTTGAAGAAAATCTGGCCCACTAAAATAAATAGTTAAACGTCTGAGAGGCTTTTAACAAAAAACCACATTTTTATACCTGGTCAGAGTAACATCACGCAAATCACTAATGTAAACATGAACTAGGTGTTAAATGTCTTCTCTCATTGTCCATAAAATTTTTTTTATTGCTGATTTGTGGATCCAACATAGGGATCATTCATTGCATCTGATTATATTCCTTAATTCTCTTCAAATCTAGAATAGTGCTGACACCAGTTTGTTGAAGGCAACAGGCCAGTTTACTTGCAGAAAATCCCACATTCTCATTTTATCTGATTGCTCCTTTGGTGTCATTTGGCCAGTTCCTCTAGTTTTCAAATCAAGGTGTAAACATTACTGACGTGTGTTTCATACTGCACCACATCAAGAGACCCCAATATCTGGTTCTTCCTCCATAGTATTGGTAAGATTGGTGAAGGGGGTAACAATTTATTCCTCCATTAAACGTTTTCTACCTTATGATCAGAAAGTAATCTATGTAGAATCTGTGTAGTGGTGGCTTTTAGCATTTCATTAATGCCAATATTCATCTAATGCTTTTAACCCAGTATAATCCTTTTTGTTTTTTCTAAGGGTTTCACTCCTTTCGCTCAGGCTGGAGCGCAATGGCGTGATCACTGCCCACTGTAGCCCCGACTTTCCTGGCTCAGGTGATTCTCCCATCTCAGCCTCCCAAGTAGCTGGGATGTACCACCATGCCCAGCTAAATTTTGTATTTTTAGTACAGACTGGGTTTTGCCATGTTTCCCAGGCTGATCTTGAATTCGTGGGCTCAAGCTATCTGCTCACCTCAGCCTCCTGCAGTGCTGGGATTACAGGCATGAGCCACTGTACCCGGCCGTTTTTATAATCCTTGAATAATGTCGAATGGGAATTATAAAATGATGTTGCTTGAAAAAAATTCTTTCATACTTAATTTATTAGCTATCATTGTTTTGTAAAGTAGGGCTTTTTTTTTCTTTTTTCTTCTTTTTTTGAGACAGTCTCTCTCTTTTGCCAGGCTGGAGTGCAGTGGCGCGATCTTGGCTCACTGCAACCTCTGCCTCCCGGGTTCAAGCGATTCCCCTGCCTCAGCCTCCTGAGTAGCTGGGACTACAGACGCCTGCCACAAAGCCCAGCTAGTTTTTGTATTTTTAGTGGAGATGGGGTTTCACCATGTTGGCTAGGCTGGTTTCAATTTCTTGACCTCGTGATCCGCCCGCCTCGGCCTCCCAGAGTGCTGGGATTACAGGCGTGAGCTACTGCGCCTGGCCGAGTAGACCTTTTCTTAAACGAGGGCTGTTTGATTACACTGAATCCAGTTGCTGCTGAGGTGTAACCACTTAAATCTTTCTTTTTAGTTACGTGTCTCCATATTGTAATAGCTGCTTCAGATAGTGACTGACTTGCAGTCCATATGCTGTCTCTTCCCCCATCTCCCCCTCTCTCCTCGTCTTGATTACTATAGTAGTTTCGTCTTTTACATCATTGCCAGCTCTTTTTTTGCAGCACAGAAAGGATTATGTTATCTCTCTTTTGTTTTGGCTTGATTTTTTGAGGTTCTCATAGATTTGTATTGATTCAGTGTGTTTCATTTCATTGTGATTATGATTCTTACTGCTCAAATGGTCATAGTTTGTCCTGTGAGGACCCCTTCTAGCTGGCTTCTGTATCATGTTGACATGATGACTCCATTAGACTTAGCTTTTTGGCACTGAAAGATGTCCCAGGCTCATTTTATACATTTCCTGCCCATCTTTTGATTGGCCATTTTACAAAGAACTTTGCTTTCTTGGTATTAGAGCTTGAAATTGAGAGTTTAGGAGTGCCATTATTCCGGAGATAATATTACTTCTGCAACACTTCAGTAGATAGAAATAAATTAAATCACAAGTCTATATTGATATTCTCAAGCCAGTTTTAGTATTTGTGTGTGTGGGGGGGAGGAGGGAGTTGATGGGGGAAGGGAGAGACAAGGTCTCACTCTGTCACCCAGGCTGGAGTGCAGTGGTGTGATTGTAGCTCACTGTAGCCTTGACCTCCCAGGCTCAGGTAGTCCTGAGCCTCAGGTGGCATGTGCCACCACACCTGGGTGATTTCTTTTTAGTTTTTGTAGAGATGAGGGAACTCCCTTTGTTGCCCAGGCTGGTCTCGAACTTCTGAGCTTGAGCAGGCCTCCTGCCTTGGCCTCCCAAAGTGCTGGGATTACTGGTATGAGCCTGGCCAGTGTTTCCGTTTAATTTCCTTGATTTATAAACGCGCTCTTTCTCTGAAAATCTTGGTTCCTTTTAATTTAACTTAATTTAGTTGTTTAAAACATTTTCTTGTAGAGACGAGTTCTTGCCATGTTGCCCAGGCTGGTTTCGAACTCCTGGGCTCAAGTGATCTGCCTACCTTGGCCTACAAAGTTCTGGGATTACAGGCGTGAGCCATATTGTCCAGGTTGTCTTGGGTTCCTAAGATGAAGCTAAAATGAGCTACTGAGAGACCAACTTTCCAGAGTTTATTCAGGAATAGCAGGGAATTGTAATCAGGGACACGTGTGCTGTAAGGAATCGTAGGTGCATCCAGAGAGGTTGGGGTAAGAGGAAACTTTTAAAGACAAAGAGGAAGTCCAAGTAAGTTGTTTTGAAACAAAGACTGTTGGTTACAAGGGCTTATTGCAGGAGTTGATGTTGGTTCATTGGTAGAGAAAGCTGTGTCAGGCAATTGTGCAAGCAGGTTATCTGGGACACTGCCATTTTGAGGAATTCCTTGCATAGTGAGGTCTCCATTTGGTTAGAGCTTGACATTAGTCACTCCATTTTGATACTGATAACTTTTGCATTAATGTCATTAACAATGTGATAATGAGTACTTATTTAGCAAAAGTTCGTGGGCTGTATGTTTCCTTAGTAATTGCTCATCTGGAAAAAGTCCTTTCATCTGGCCAAGTGTTAGAATATAGAATATTTTTTAGTTCAGGTAAAATTTACATAAAATGCAATGTACATGTACACCTTAAATGTATAATTTGAGTCTTGATAAATATGTATATCCATATAAACCATACACCAATTAATATATTGAATATTTCCATCACTATAGGGGCAAAATGTTCTGATTTTTATCGCCACAAATACATATAAATGGAATCTCTTGGGTCTCTTATTTAATGTTTGAGATTCATTCATATTTGTGTGTATCAGTTAATCGATTCTTTTTTTTTTTTATTGTTCAGTAGTATTTAGTGGTGTCAATATGTTAAAATTTGGTTATCCATTTGCTTTTTTTTTTTTTTTCCCTGAAAAGGAATCTCGCTCTATTGCCTAGCTGGAGTACAGTGGCTCAATCTCTGCTCACCACAACCTCTGCCTCCTGGATTCAAGGGATTCTCCTGCCTTAGCCCCTTGAGTAGCTGGAATTATAGGCATGTGCCACCACATCCAGCTAATTTTTGTATTTTTGGTAGAGACAAGGTTTCACCATGTTGGCCAGGCTGGTCTTGAACTCCTGACCTCAAGTGATCTGCCTGCCTCTGCCTGCCAACGTGCTGGGATTATAGGTGTGAGCCACCGCATCCAGCCTATCCATATACTATTAATGAACATTTAGATTTTCAGTTTTTGGCAATTATGAATAAAGTTGTTATGAACAACTATATTGTCAACCTGAAATAATTGAAATGATCAGAATCCAGTTTCAAAGAGTTTTTAAATAAGAGTTTTTAGATGAACATCTGGGAATGACTAACTGGGGAATATGGACTCCAGAGCACTGGGATCTGGGCTTCAAAGTTAAAAGTTAAGGGCCTGGGCCGGGCGCGGTGGCTCACATCTGTAATCCCAGCACTTTGGGAGGCCAAGGCAGGCAGATCACCAGGTTAGGAGATCAAGACCATCCTGGCCAACATGTTGAAACCCCATCTCTACTAAAAATACAAAAATTAGCTGGGCATGGTGGCGCCTGCCTGTAATCCCAGCTACTCGGGAGGCTGAGGCAGGAGAATCGCTTGAACCAGGGAGTCAGAGGTTGCAGTGAGCCAAGATCACGCCACTGTACTCCAGCCTGGCGACAGAGCGAGACTCCATCTCCAAAAGAAAAAGAAAAGGTGCCGCTTATTTATATAGGCAGGAAACAAAGACATTTAATAGGATTACAACATTTTCTCTGCAAGGTTGGGGTTTATGAGTTACAACAGTTTAGTTACAGATTGTTTTCTTTTCCATATAGCTTGTTTGTTTTTTCTTTCCAAGAGTGTGTTTAACATTCCATCTTTTTATTTTTTATTTTATTTTATTATTTTTTTTTTTTTGGAGATGGAGTCTCTTTCTGTCGCCCAGGCTGGAGTGCAGTGGCGCAACCTCAGCTCATTGCAACTTCTGCCTCCTGAGTTCAAGCAATTCTCCTGCCTCAGCCTCCCGAGTAACTGGGACTATGGGCACCCGCCACCACACCCAGATAATTTTTGTATTTTTGGTAGAGACAGGGTTTCATCGTGTTGCTGGTCACGAACTCCCGAGCTCAGACAGTCCGCCTGCCTTGGCCTCCCGAAGTGCTAGGATTACAGGTGTGAGACACCGCGCCTGGCACATTCCATCTTCCAAAAATGTGGTAGTCATGAAGTTTTTGTGTGAAAGAGGAGGAAAGAGGGAAATTAATCTGTAATGAATATCAGCAGTTAAGAGGAAGAGGAAAGACATCTTCCCTGGCACTCACTGGTTAGTCATTTACGACATTTTACAGAACAATGTAGGTAAGAAATAAGGTAATTTATAATCAGAGAAGCAAAAGCTACAGCTGCCTAGGTTACAGTTGCCTGTTTAAGTGACTCAGGTTTCATAATCACATTCTCTTAAGGCTCAAAATATTTAACAAGTTCCAACAGCCTAGATTTTGAATTACTTATTTTTGCAATATACATATCTTTTGGGGTGTGTATATTTTCATTTCTTTTGGGTAAATACTCAAAGGTATATGCGCTGACTTACAGACTGAGTAATTACTTTTTTAAAATAGTTTCAAGTTTTATTTTAGATCCAAGGGGTACATGTGCAGGTTTGTTACATGGGTATATTGTGTGACATTGAGGTTTGGGACATAAATGATCCCATCACACAGGTAGTCAGTACATTCTCAGCCCTTGCACTCCTTTCCCTCTCCTCCCTCTAATAGTCCCTAGTTTTATTGTTCCCATGTTTGTGTCCATATGTACCCAGTGTTTAGCTCCCACTTACACAGTATTTGGTTTTCTTTTCCTACGTTAATTCACTTAGGATAATAGCCTCCAGCTATATCCATGTTGCTGCAAAGGATATTATTTCATTCTTTTCTTGTGGCCATGTAGTATTCCATGATGTATATGTGCCACATTTTCTTTATCCAGCCTACTGTTGATGGCAGCTAGGTTGATTCCATGTTTTTGCTATTGTGAATAGTGCTGCAGTGAATATACCAGTGCATGTACCTTTTTTGTAGAAAGATTTATTTTTCTTTGGGTATAGAACCAGTAATGGAATTGCTGGGCCAAACGGGTAGTTCTGGTTTTTTATTTATTTATTTTTATCTGTCTGTCTATGTATCTATCTGTCTATTGAGACAGAGTTTCACTCTTATCACCGAGGCTGGAGTGCAGTGGTGTGATCTCAGCTCACTGCAAACTCCATGTCCTAGGCTCAGACGATCCTCCCAAGTAGCTGGGACCACAGGTACATGCCACCATGCTGGCTAATTTTTGTATTTTTTTTTTGTAGAGATGGGGTTTTGCCTTGTTGCCCAGGCTGGTCTTGAATTCTTGGCTCAGGTGATCCGCCCTCGTAGGCCCCCCAAAATGCTGGGATTGTAAGTGTGAGCCACTGGGCCTGGCTTAGTTCTATTTTTAGTTCTTTGAGAAATCTCCAAACTGTTTTTCACAATGGCTAAACTAATTACATTCCCACCAGCAGTGTATAAGTGTTCCCTTTTTGGGGCAGCCTCGCCAGCATCTGTTAGTTTTTATCTTTTTAGTAATAGCCATTCTGACTGGTGTGAGATGGTATCTCGTGGTTTTGATTTGCATTTTTCTGTTTAGTTATGTGGAGCATTTTTTCATGTTTGTTGGCTGCTTGTATGTCTTGTTTTTTGAGACAGGGTCTCACTCTTGCCCACGCTGGAGTGCAGTGGTGTTATCTCTGCTCACTGTGGCCTGGACCTCCTGGGCTCAAGTGATCCTTCTGCCTTAGCTCCCAAAGTAGGCTGAGGTGGGAGAGGGCATGGAAGCTCTGCACCCCTGCGCTGTTCCTCACCCTGTATACAACTTCATCTGTCTGTTCATCTGTATACTTTACCATATCCTTATAACGAACCAGTGAATGTGTTTGCCCGCATTCTGTGAGCCGTTCTAACAAATTAATCCAACTCCAGGAGGGAGTGTTGGGAACCCAGCTTTATAGCCGGTCATCAGAAGTGTGGGTGATGACCTTACTTGTGTCTGAAGAAGAGAGGGGCAGTATTGTGGGACTCAGCCCATAATCTCAGTGGGATCTAACTCCAGGTAGATACTGTCAGGATTGAATTGAGCTATAGGACACTCAGGTGTGTGGTATATGCTGGAGAATTGCTTGGTGTGTGGGGAAAAACCTTCACACATCTGGTCACAAGCGTTTGTGTTAAGTGTGAGCATAGAGGAAAAACAGTTTGTCTTTTACAGTTGCTTCTCAGGTACCCCTTTTCTTTTCCCCTTAGATGTTCATTTTGAAGGTTAAGTAGAGATGGCTTTTCTTTTGCTTACTGGGGTGGGGCAGGGGGTTGTGGCATATCTGCTGGTTAGGGGCTGTTAGGATGGGTGGATTTCAGTTCTGGTTTTTACTATTTTGTAACTACAAATCCTTTTCCCAGGGGCACACTCAAATGTTTGATTGTCCCTAATTTCACTGAACATGTTTGATTCCTGACTGAAAAATAGACCAGAGGCTCTCCCCCTTTCTTAGGGTTCTCTTTTCAACAACTATTTCTTTTCACCTCTCTCCTAACCAGAGGAGGTTCAAATATATTTAAGTGCTTTAAATGTAACTTTTTCTGCTTGGTCTTTGTGGGTATCTTCATTCCAGTTGGTTTTCTTCACTTTCATTTCTTTTCACTTTACTTCATATTCTGCTAAGTCTCTTATAACCCCTCACTGTGATTCCTATCCCCAGCTCCCGCTAACCCCCAGCATTTCTGCAAGTGTGAAGTAGACTGGATTCCTGAAGGTTTTTTTTCTCCCTCTAGATTCTGGCAGACATTCAAAGTTTATGGTATACGTGCAGGCCGCTCTTTAAATGTTCCTGGATAGTCTTTTCATGGTTTGTAATTCTGCTTTGCACCACTAACTTTCCCAGGATGGCCATAGGTTTTGTATGTTTAAGCTGTTTCATAAGCAGATCTGAAAGCATGTCTTTCTAATAAATACAAGGAATGTTTTGTGTTTCTTTAAGTGAAATAATTATTCTAAGATCATGAAAAAGTGCTCTGAGAACCGAAACAGGTAGAGATTTTTGTTTGATTGTGCCAGGATCAGTAGTGATGTCTGGCATTTGATTGGTAAGATGTTAACTAGTTAGGTGCTATATGCCTGCTGACTCTTGACTCTGGCCTAGCTATTTTAAAAAAAATTCTTTTGTAATTCTTGAAAGTTTTCAGGTGTTTTTTGGAATACTTTTATTATTTTAGGTAGTAATCTTCAGTGACATACTATACTTTTTAGAGAGCAAGAAGTACTTGTTGATTTCACAGCCTTGGGAAAGATCCTAAACTGCATGTATTCCTATATCCTTTCCTTTACCTAATCTGCAGTGCTATACTTTGTTAGACTCCCAGAAAAATGGATTGGGTTTTTCAGTGGGCATATGTCCAATTTGCTATGTTTCTTTTATTCTAGCCTTTTTTTTTTACTTCCTAATTCTCAATCTCAGAGATTTGGAAAATAGAGAAGCACTGAAGAGATCTTCAGTGCCTTGGGGCTTAAAATGATGAGTACTTTAAATTTTAAGACAGCCAGTCTCACAATACGAAAAACCAAGAAAGGGAATGGTTGGCTGCCTAGGTGGAAATCAAGACTGTTTGATAGAATGACCACAGGTACAGGGCATGGTTTTCAGATTTCTTAGTCCAGTAACACTTCCTGAAGTATGATCAAACTGAACATTGATTCACACTAAGCTTACATGAGATTGATAAATCAGACTTCTGAACTTTCATCAATAATTCTAATGATTAATAGGACAAAAATACTAATCTCAGCTGGTCAGAGCAATTTCTTACCATTATTAAATTCTATCTGGGAAAGCTAATGAAGATCAGATAGTTACTTTGTAAGTGGAGTCTGGTCAGAACAGTGGCATTTAGGTGATCTTAAGGGATGCTGTCATCAAGCTCTGGTAGCATAGAACAGAGCATTTTATATTTTCTAGGTTATTACTGATACATGCGTGTCATTCAGAAAGAGCACTTTCCTTACCATATGGTTCTCTAGACAGAAGGAGCACTTCTTTGTGTTTGTTCTTTTGTATTGAATATTTTTTTATCCGTCTAAAAACAGCAGTTATTATATTTCTATATTGAAGAAACTAACGTATAAGACCAGTTTGTTTTATCTCACCATTTATATTCTTAAGAAGCTTTTTAGGATTACTTACTTCCTTCTGTGCTTTGATTAAACAGTCAAAACCCATTTCTATGTTTGAAAAGTAGGCCGGGTGCGGTGGCTCATGCCTCTAATCTTAACACTTTGGGAGGCTGAGGCAGGTGGATCGCATGAGCCCAGGAGTTTGAGACCAGCTTGGGCAACATGGCGAAAACCAATCTCTACAAAAAAAATACAAAGATTAGCCTGGTGTGGTGGCGCATGCCTGTAGTCCCAACTACACGGGAGGCTGAGGGGAGGATGGCTTTTGAGCCTGGGAGGTGAAGGCTGCAGTGAGCAGAGATGGCACCATCGCACTCCAGCCTGGGTGACAAAGTGAGACCCTGTCTCAAAAAAAAAAAAAAAAAGTAGTTCTATTTCCTGTCAGCAGGGAGGCAGCATAGCATAATTAAAGTAGCTTTAACTTTTAATCAGACTCATTTAAAGCCTGACTCTGCTGTTTCCCAGCCTTGTAACAGTGGGCAAATTGCTTAAACCATTTTGAGTTTCTGTTTTCTGGTAAAATGGAGATAATTGCAACTCTGCAGGAAGAACTAGAAAAAACTAAATCTAAAGAGTTAGGAGGAAAACCAAGAAAACCGATATCCTGGAAGCCAAGCAGTGTGTTTCTAGGCGGGGGCGATCATCTATATCAAATGCTGATCATAAGCAAAAAGAGGTCAGAGAAGTGACCATTGGAAATAAGAATATAAGATCACTGGGTTTCTTCTTTTAAAAAAAAATTAAAAACAAAATATTTTTAGAGACAGGGTTGTGCTTTGTTACTCAGAGTGGAGTGCAGTGGCATGATCATGGCTCACTGCAGCTTTGAACTCCTGGACTCAAGTGTTCCTCCCTCCCCAGCATCTCAAAGCCGTTGGGGTTATAGGCGTGAGCCATTGTGCCTGGCTACTGGGTTTCTTCTTGATAGTTTTTGGTGAAAGGTTGAAAACACTTACGAACTTGAATGGGTTTAACTGGGAGGAGAAGGCAGAGAACATACACAATTCCTGAGGATTGTTTTTGCTATAGAGAGAATGAGAGAAGCAAAGTAGCTGGAGCGAGAAATGAACTTAAGACTTTTTAATAGAGGAAAGAATAGCACATATATGTGTGCTGAAGGTAAAGATCCAGGAGGGAGGCATAATGTGATGAGAGGAAGGAAGGGATTGCCAGAGTAATGTCCTTGAATAGGCAGAATGAGGGGGTGGATCGAATTGCACAAATGGCTTACGTGCTAAGGGCAGGGATAGATGGGCATAGGTGGGAGTTCGTAGAAAGGGCCCTTCTGGCATTCTGTTTCACTGCGAAAGTCAGGTCATCAGCTGAGAGGGAGGATGGAGGAGTAGGTGTTAGAGGTTTGAAGACAGAAGTCATCTAGGAGAAGGGGATAGACTAGGAATTTACAGTATTATTTCTGGGCAGTATACAGAGTCTGAGGAATGATTGCTGACTGGCTCACTTTAAACTTACATGGTCATAGGCTTTTCTCCAGCTATGTTTAGCTGCATGGGTATACAGAGTAGGTAGACAATTGGTTAAACCAGGATTATGATTTATCCAAAAGAATAAAAGCGAGACAAGAACAAGGGCTTTGAGGGAATATGCATGGGAGTGATGTTTTATTTCACCTAAATATTTTAGAATGTATCTATAATGGACAAGAATTTAAAAAAATCACATACAACCGTAAAACTTTTTTTTTTTTTTTTTGAGACAGGATTCACTGTCGCCCAGGCTGGAGTGCAGGGACACAGTCACATCTTACTGCAGCCTCAACCTCCTGGGTTCAAGCGATCCTCCCACCTCAGCCTCCTGAGTTGCTGGGACTATGGGTGTATACCACCATGCTTGGCTAATTTTTAATTTTTTTGGTAAGAGATGGGGCCCAGGGTGGTGCTGGTCTCAAACTCCTGGGCCCAAGCCTCACAAAAGTGCTGGGATTACAGGCATGAGCCACTGTGCCTGAATCACAATACTTGTTTAATATTAACTGATATTTAGTCTATCTTCAGGTTTCTCTCATTTTCAAAATCAGAAAAACCAGATTTGTTTAAGTTGGAATTAAACAAGGTCTGTACATTGCATTTGATTGCTGTGCCTCTTAAGTCATTTATTCCATATGTTTCATTTTACTCCTCTTTTTCAGACCATTGATTTGTTCAAGATATTTGGTCTTTTGTCATCTAGAACTTCTGTATTCTGCGTCTGGATGTCTGTATTCTTGTATTATTTTTACTTTAAAAAAATTTTTAATTGTAAAATTCACAACATGATAGTTACTACATAAGCAAGTGTAACGTTCTGTAGTATTAAATACGTTCACATGGTTGTGTCCTGTGGTGTTATTTTAAACACGTTCCTCTAGATCCCTTACTTTGTGTAAACTAGTATCAGATCTAGAGAGGCTGGATTTGATTCAGGTTCAGTTTTTAACTTTGTTGGTGAGGGGTCAAGGACATAGGTGGTTTATGTGTACTTCTCATGGTGTCTTATTGGGAAGCACGTAATGTCTGGTTGTCCTAACGATGAGACTGATCATTGGGTTTAGGTCTTGTAGCCCAAGGGTTCTCAACCCTGGTACTCGTCCATGGCCTGTTAGGAACTGGGTCGCACAGCAGGAGGTGAGCGGCACGTGAGCAAGCATTACTGCCCAAGGTCCACCCCGTCAGATCAGCAGCAGCAATAGATTCTCATAGGAGCACAAACCCTCTTGTGAACTGCGCATGCGAGGGACCTAGGCTGTGCGTTCCTTATGATGCGATCTAACTAATGCTTGGTGATCTGAGATGGTACGGTTTCATCCCGAAACCACCCCACCCTCCCCAAATCTGTGGAAAATTGTCTTCCACGAAACTGGTCCGTGGTGCCAAAAAGGTTGGGAACCACTGTTGTAGCCTGACTATCCATTTAAAAATTTTCCACTGATTTTTTTTCACACTTAATGGTTTTATTAACCATTGATCATTGCCTAGATCCATTATTTTCTTAGAGATTGTAAACTGATTATTTTCTAATTATGTAACTCTTTTTGGATTTATTAGCTAGAATTCTGTTAAAAACAGTCACTCACCTAGTTTCTGCCAGAAATGCAGGATAAATGTTTGATTCTTTTATTATTTATTTATTTATTTATTTTTTGAGACGGAGTCTCGCTCTGTTGCCCAGGCTGGAGTGCAGTGGCACGATCTTGGCTCACTGCAAGCTCCACCTCCCGGGTTCACGCCATTCTCCTGCCTCAGCCTTCCGAGTAACTGGGACTACAGGCGCCTGCCACCATGCCCGGCTAATTTTTTTTTTTGTATTTTTAGTAGAGATGGAGTTTCACCACATTAGCCAGGATGGTCTCAATCTCCTGACCTCGTGATTCACCCGCCTCGGCCTCCCAAAGTGCTGGGATTATAGGCGTGAGCCACCATGCCTGGCCGATTCTTTTATTTTCTAATTTTCAGGTGACTGAGTTTTTTGATTTTTAGATAAAATTATGAATTCATGAAGTTCATGATGACTCAGTTGCAGTCATTTTTCTGATGTTCAGATTGTCTCATAGTTGGTCAGTGGAAGCTTCTTCAAGCTGGCTTCTGTGTCCCCCACAGCTGCTGCACCCTTGTTAGCTTCACAGCTTGTTTGTATCTGTCTTGTCCTGTGCTTGGAATAATCAATTTCTGCAAGAAGCTCCTAGTTTCTTTCAGTGGGAAATGGTAGAGATTGTAATATGGGTGTCCACTTTTAAAAGATGTGGGTCGGGCATGCTGGCTCACTCCTGTAATCCCAGCACTTTGGGAGGCCAAGGCGGGCGGATCATGAGGTCAGGAGTTCAAGACCAGCCTGGCCAATATGGTGAAACCCCGTCTGTATTAAAAATACAAAAATGAGCCCGGCATGGTGGTGCACGCCTATAGTCCCAGCTACTTGGGAGGCTGAGGCAGAAGAATTGCTTGAAGAGGTTGGAGTGAGCCAAAATCGTGCCACTGCACTCCAGCCTGGGTGACAGAGTCAGACTTCGTCTCAAAAAAAAAAAAAAAAGGTGTTGTGGCTTTTGTTTATTTGATTTTTTAGAATACTGATTGGTTTCTTTTCTTAACAGGCATGCCCAAAGAAAAATACGAGCCCCCTGACCCTCGGAGGATGTATACAATTATGTCTTCTGAGGAAGCAGCAAATGGAAAGAAATCCCACTGGGCAGAGCTTGAAATAAGTGGTAAGACATGGAAGCATGAATTTATGGTATGGAAATTAAGATATGGTAGTAAACTGAGTTTTCTAATGCCAATACAGGAAAGAAACATTGATTTTATATTTTACAAATGTAATGTATTTATAAATGATTGTATTTTAGTAACTTATCTTAGAAGCAGGAAGGTTCAATGAAAAGAATATGATTTGAGTCAAAGTTCAAAAGCCATTCATTGAATATTTTCTCAGTATCAGTGTCCTCTTACAAAATACATAAATGTAAAATAATAACAAGGATGAAATGAAAATAACACATGTGAAGTGCTAGTGCCCAGTCACGTATTTGTTCTGGTATTTGATTCTCTGATAAAGTAGGATTGAGCTTTTGCATTGTCAATGATAGATTTCTGGTGGGGTAGGAATGGCTGATCTGTATAGGTTTTGGGTAGGTTTGTTTCTCCTTATTTTCTTCATTGGCTTCTGAGTCTGAGTCACTGAGGACAGCCTTATTCAGAAACACAAAATCTTAAGAGTTTGAAGAAGATCTCAAATTTCCCTTCCCCTTTTAATGCAATCTGGACATATTCAAAGAAATATATGAGCCCTCAGATGTGAAGGATATCCTTTCCCCAGCATCTCTGCCAGTGGGCACACAGTCTCTTTTTAAATATTTTGAAGATGGTGAAGGGACATTACTTCTCAGGGCAACCAGTGCTAATGAAGTTTTGTGTTACTGTTGGCCTATTATGCTTCCCCTTACTTTCCTTTCAGTTTGTTCTGATTTTTGCCTTCTAAAATAGTACAGAACAAATTTTGTCGTCTTTCACCTGACCGCCCTTGATTTTTAAAAATTTAATGCAGCAGACATACTGAGCATATGCTGTGTGTAAAACATTTTACCTGGCGCTGGCCCACGTGCGTGGAAGATCTATAAAGTCCCGCTTTTTATGGAGCTTATGACATTAGGGAGTGAGAGGGAGTGCACAAGTATAAATAACTAATAGACAAAACATAACAAATCTAGGTATAAAAGTGCTATATAACAGGAAGCAAAAAGGAAATAAGGATAATAGCATTCCTCCTTTGTCAGCTCAAAATTTCTGGTTAACCTGTTGAGTAAACTTAAATGCCTGCCTTTGCAGCCATAGTAGAGGTCAGTACACACACGGGTCTCTCCTGTTTTCCCTCTTCTGATTTCTTTTTTTTTTTTTTTTTTAGTTTTTATTGATCATTCTTGGGTGTTTCTCGGAGAGGGGGATTTGGCAGGGCCATAGGACAATAGTGGAGGGAAGGTCAGCAGATAAACATGTGAACAAGGGTCTCTGGTTTTCCTAGGCAGAGGACCCTGCGGCCTTCCGCAGTGTTTGTGTCCCTGGGTAGTTGAGATTAGGGAGTGGTGATGACTCTTAAGGAGCATGCTGCCTTCAAGCATCTGTTTAACAAAGCACATCTTGCACCGCCCTTAATCCATTTAACCCTGAGTGGACACAGCACATGTTTCAGAGAGCACGGGGTTGGGGGTAAGGTTATAGATTAACAGCATCCCAAGGCAGAAGAATTTTTCTTAGTACAGAACAAAATGGAGTCTCCCATGTCTACTTCTTTCTACACAGACACAGTAACAATCTGATCTCTCTTTCTTTTCCCCACATTTCCCCCTTTTCTATTCGACAAAACCGCCGTTGTCATCATGGCCCGTTCTCAATGAGCTGTTGGGTACACCTCCCAGATGGGGTGGCGGCCGGGCAGAGGGGCTCCTCACTTCCCAGACCGGGCGGCTGGGCGGAGGCGCCCCCCACCTCCCTCCCAGCTGGGGCGGCTGGCCGGGGCGGCTGCCAGGCAGAGGGGCTCCTCACTTCCCAGACGGGGCGGCTGCCGGGCAGAGGGGCTCCTCACTTCTCAGACGGGGTGGCCGGTCAGAGACGCTTCTCACCTCCCAGACGGGGTAGCGGTCGGGCAGAGACACTCCTCAGTTCCCAGACGGGGTCACGGCCGGGCAGAGGCGCTCCTCACATCCCACACGGGGCGGCGGGGCAGAGGCGCTCCCCGCATCTCAGACGATGGGCGGCCGGGCAGAGACGCTCCTCATTTCCTAGACGGGATGGCGGCTGGGAAGAGACGCTCCTCACTTCCCAGACTGGGCGGCCGGGCTGAGGGGCTCCTCACATCCCAGACGATGGGCGGCCAGGCAGAGACGCTCCTCACTTCCCAGACGGGGTGGCGGCCAGGCAGAGGCTGCAATCTCAGCACTTTGGGAGGCCAAGGCAGGCGGCTGGGAGGTGGAGGTTGTAGCGAGCCGAGATCACGCCACTGCACTCCAGCCTGGGCAAGATTGAGCACTGAGTGAGCAAAACTCCGTCTGTAATCCCGGCACCTCGGGAGGCCGAGGCAGGCAGATCACTCGGGGTCAGGAGCTGGAGACCAGCCCGGCCAACATGGCGAAACCCCGTCTCCACCAAAAAATGCAAGAACCAGTCAGGCGTGGCGGCGCGTGCCTGCAATCCCAGGCACTCTGCAGGCTGAGGCAGGAGAATCAGGCAGGGAGGTTGCAGTGAGCCGAGATGGCGGCAGTACAGTCCAGCCTCGGCTTTCACAACTTTGGTGGCATGAGAGGGAGACCGGGGAGAGGGAGAGGGACCCCTCTTCTGATTTCTAGAATGCTGGACTTTATTAAACCAAGTTCAGCTCAGTAAGTAGGTGTGGTCATGGAGAGTGAAATTTCTCTTCTTCTCACCTGTCAGATTTGGCTTTCTGTGCCAGGGGAGCCCAAAGAGAAATATGCACTAATTTTGTAGTTATTCTCAAAGCACAGTCAGTCACCACTCCTATTTTTCCCTTTTAATTTTTTCAGGATTGGCATTTGACTATATTTACCTCTCCTTTTTTCAGCCCTTATTAGCAGTTTTTGCATTACAATTCCTTTGCTTGTAAGGAAGTGTCCCCTATCTTACAGCATTAGGATACGCAAGAAAGCACTCAGGTCATTGAGATACATCTCTGAGGCTGAGGAGATTCTCCTCCACCCTCTCCTCCTTCCACCACATGCTGTGAACTCCTTGGTGACTTTGAGTCACTGTTCTCTGCTTACCCTGAACTTTGGGAAGAAGTTCTGTATACACATATAGGGAAAAACCCTCAACCCATGTTTTTTCTTTGCTCTCACACCACCACAGTCATCAACACAAAAGAAGACTTCTGTGACCAAAGGTGTGGGTTTCTTTTCCCCACACAGCAAGCAGCAGACACCAGTTAGGTGCCCTCCAATTCAATTCCAACACTGTCTTCCTGGAGGTAGCATCAGATCCCACGGTTTGTGGACTCAGTCCCCAAGACTGCCCTCTCCCACTTCTATCACCAGTCCCATGTTTGGGCCTCTAGAGCTTTGACCAGCTTCAGGTTGGGGTTCCCACGACCCCCTCTTTGGGTTCAGTTAATTTGCTGGAGTGGTTCACAGAACTCAGAGAAACATCTACTTACGTTTACCAGTTTATTATAAAGGATATTACAAAGGATACAGATGAAAAGATGCACAGGGCAAGGTGTAGGGGAAAAAGTGCAGTGTCCATGCCCTCCCTGGGCACACCACCCTTCAGGAGGAACCTCGTGCATTCAGCTATCTGGAAGCTCTCTGAACCCTGTTCTTTCGGGTTTTTATGGAGGCTTCATTACATAGGCATGGTTGACAGCTGTAGAAATGTGATTATTAGACAAGCAAGGCATGTCTGCTCAGACTTTTCTTGGGCTGTGTAGCATTCCTTCTTCTAAGGTATGGGGCAGGACCCTCTCTGGAATGACGGTCTTCTGACCCACAGTGAGATTAGAGTCCTGCCTTGGGCAGGGGAAAGGAGGATAGGAGAAGGTCATAGATCCTGTTTCCTGAGGCCTTAAGCACTCTAACATTATAACAAAGACTATGGGAGTTAGGAACCAGGAACCATGGATGAAAACCTATATATATATATATATATATATATATATATCACCGTAATACAACATAGGAAGGAAGAGGGGAGACGCCTCTAAAGTAACCTTTCTTAATTTATTGTTATTATTATTATTTAGAGATGAGGTCTTGCTCTGTTGCCCAGGCTGGAATGCAGTGGCATGATTATACATAGCTTACTGTATCCTTGAATTCCTGGGCTCATGTGATCCTCCCACCTCACCCTCCTGAGTAACTGGGACTACAGACTCATGCCACCATGCCCAGCTAACATTTTAAAAATTTTCCTTAGAGATAGGGGTCTCCCTTTGTTGCCCAGGCTGGTCTTGAGCTCCTGGCCTCAAGCAGTCCTCCCGCGTTAGCCTCCCAAAGTGCTGGTATTACAGACATAAGCCAACTTACTTAGCCCAGATTGGCTTCTTTAACTTATTTATTTCATTTTTATAGATTTAGGAGGTATAAGTACAGTTTTCTTTTTTATATTTTAACAATCTGTTTATTATTTATTTATCCCTCCATAGAACCACCACTCACACCAAGGAGATTATTTGGAGTGGGTCACCACCTGGGGCCTGGACTCTGAAATCTAAGGCTTCCTCCTCCCTCACTTTATGGCTTAGGTGGTGGCATGGTTCAGGCAAAACTCGTGTCTCCTTTTGGATACTGCAGAAGCAGGACCTAAGCATACCCATAAAGGTGGCCACACCCATCAGGGTTGATTGGCAGGCTGGAAGACAATATTCTCCCAATGAAGGCACTTTTACCTCTATAGGGGGGTGGGAATTGGTTGGTTGGAAGTGGTGGTGTTGGGACAGGGAAGAGTTATTTCCATGGAAAACTTATTTGCAGGTTACAGAGAGAAATGAGGGGAGTTTGCCTACACTGGGCCATCTGTGGGGCCAGTGGGGGCTGCTGTATATCTTGTATATCTTTGCTACCGAAAGGGGAAGGTTGACGTAGGCATTAAAGCCAAAGAGGCCCTTAGCAATTAGGCCCAGTACCCCTGCGATGATTTTGGAGTGGTTTTCTTTCTCAACATTGTCGATAATGGAGGTGATTAGGTAGAGGATCACTGCTAAGAGGGTTTGGAAGAAATGACTCCAGGGCCAATTGATGAATGGTATTTTGGTGTGCAGATCACACACGTAGCTGACAAAGTAGCAGCAAGTATCATTTCAGCCACCAACAGGGAGGAATAGTCTGGTGTGGAGGCACTTGAAGTAGATCAGGATCACCAGGCACAATGTAATCTTAGCAAACCTGGAGGATTCCCTTTTGGGTGCGCAAGAAGTTGGCCTCAGCAGCGGGGGTCCGAGAGGCCCTCGGAATCCACCATGGCATGGGCCGGAGTCGCTGGGGTCCGAGAGGCCCTCGGAATCCACCATGGCATGGGCCGGAGTCCCTGGGGTCCGAGAGGCCCTCGGAATCCACCATGGCATGGGCCGGAGTCCCTGGGGTCCGAGAGGCCCTCGGAATCCACCATGGCATGGGCCGGAGTCCCTGGGGTCCGAGAGGCCCTCGGAATCCACCATGGCATGGGCCGGAGTCCCTGGGGTCCGAGAGGCCCTCGGAATCCACCATGGCATGGGCCGGAGTCGCTGGGGTCCGAGAGGCCCTCGGAATCCACCATGGCATGGGCCGGAGTCCCTGGGGTCCGAGAGGCCCTCGGAATCCACCATGGCATGGGCCGGAGTCCCTGGGGTCCGAGAGGCCCTCGGAATCCACCATGGCATGGGCCGGAGTCCCTGGGGTCCGAGAGGCCCTTGGAATCCACCATGGCATGGGCCGGAGTCCCTGGCGACGCAGAAGATGTGCTCACTGATTCGTGGGGTGGAGGACACTGCACACCCAGCCATCTGGCTAGGAAGGGGGCGTCTGGGGCAGAGGGAGTCACAAGTACGGTTTTCTTACCGGATATATTGTGTAGTGGCAAAGTCTGGCCTTTTAGTGTACTCATTGCCCTAATAGTGAACATTGTACCCAAAAGGTAACTTTTTCACCTTTTTCGCCCTCCCGTGTTTTGGAATCTTCAGTGTCTGTTTTTCCATTCTGTATGTGCATGTGTACCCATTGTTTAGCTCCCACTTGTAAGTGAGAACATCGGTATTTGACTGTTTCTGAGTTGTTTTGCTTAGGATAACGGCCTCCAGTTCTGTCCAGGTTGCTGCACAAGATATGCTTTCATTCTTTTTTATAACTCAGTAGTATTTCTTGGTGTATATATACACTGCATTTTCTTTATCCAGTCATCCATTGTTGGACACTTAGGTTGAGGCCGTATCTTTGCTATTGTGAATAGTGCTACAATACACGAGTGCAGGTTATCTTTTTGACATGATGATTTCTTTCCCTTTGGGGATACCCAGTAGTGGGACTGCTGGATAGAATGGTAGTTGTATTTGTAGTTCTGTGAGAAATCTCCATACTGATTTCCATACAAGTTGTACTAATTTACATTCCCACCAACAGTGTTCAAGCGTTCCTTTTTCTTCACATCCTTGCCAGCATCTGTTGTTTTTGACTTTTTAATAGTAGCCTTTCTGAGTGGTGTAAGATGGTATTTCATTGTGGTTTTAATTTGCATTTCTCTGATGATTATTGATGTTGAGCATTTTTTTCGTATTTGTTGGCAATTTGTCTTTTGAAAAATATTGTTTCATGTTCTTTGCCCACTTATTAGGGTTTTTTTTTTTTTTTTTTTTTTTTTTTTTGACAGTCTCACTCTGTTGCCCAGGCTGGAGTGCAGTGGTGTCATCTCGGCTCACTGCAAGCTCTGCCTCCCACGTTCACACCATTCTCCTGCCTCAGCCTCCTGAGTAGCTGGTACTACAGGCACCCGCCACCACACCCGGCTAATTTTTTGTATTTTTTTTTAGTAGAGATGGGGTTTCACCATGTTGGCCAGGATGGTCTCGATCTGCTGACCTTGTGATCCGCCTGCCTTGGCCTCCCAAAGTGCTGGGATTACAGGTGTGAGCCACCGTGCCTGGCCTAGGGTTGTTTTTTTCATGTTGAGTTGAGTTCCTTGTAGATTCTATATAGTAACCCTTTGTCAGATGTGTAGTTGCCAATATTTTCTCTCATTCTGTAGTGTTAATTATCATTATTATTATTTTTGCTGTGCAGAAACTTCTTAATGTAATTAAGTCCCATTTATCTATTTGTTTTGAGATAAGATATCATTGTTCTGTGGCCCAGGCTGGATGGAGTGGTATAATCTCAAACTCCTGAGCTCTAGTGATCCTCCTGCCTCAGCCTCCTGAGTAGCTGGGACTACAGGTGCACACAACCATGCCTGGCTTTTTTGTTTTGTTTTGTTTTGGAGACAGGATCTCACTTTGTCACCCAGGCTGTAGTGCAGTGATGCCATCTCGGCTCACTGCAGCCTCGACCTCGTGGGTTCAAGCAATCCTCCTTCCTCAGCCCCTCAAGTAGCTGGGACTACAGTGCATGCCACCATGCCCAGCTAAAGGCAAGTTTTTATATTTTAATTTTTTGTAGAGACAGGGGTCTTGTGTTTCCCAGCTTGGTCTCTAACTCCTGGCCTCAAGTGATCTTCCTGTCTTAATTTTACAAAACACTGGGATAACAGGCATGAGCCACTGTGCCCAGCCAGCTTCTTTAACTTAGTAATAGATGTTTATGTTTTCTCTGTGTCTTGTCATGGCTTGATAGCTCATTCTTTTTTAGCACTGAGTAATATTCCATTGTCTGGATGTACCAGTTTATTTACCCAGTCACCTACTGAAGGACATCTTGGTTGCCTCCAAGTTTTGGCAATTTTTGGTAAAGCTACTATAAACATCTGTGTGCAGTTCTTTGTGTAGACATTAAGTTTTCAGCTCCTTTGGGTAAATACCAACGAGGCATGATTGCTGAATTATATGGGAATAGTGTGTTTAGTTTTGCCAAAAAGTAC
Source organism: Homo sapiens (assembly GCF_000001405.40). NCBI lineage: Eukaryota > Metazoa > Chordata > Mammalia > Primates > Hominidae > Homo > Homo sapiens. The sequence goes on from NC_000005.10 coordinate 180,537,226, forward strand.
CAAACTGTATTCTAAAGTGGCTGTATCATTTTGCCCTCCTACCAGCACATCCTTTTCCGGATTTGGTGGTGTTAGTGTTTTGGATTTTTTTGCCATCCTGATAGGTGTGTAGCAGTATCTCGTTGTTTTAATTTGCGGTTCTCTAATGGCATATATATTGGCCATCTTTTCATATGCTTTTTTGCCATGGGTATATCTGCTTTGGTTAGGTGTGTGTTCAAATCTTTTGCCCGTTTTTAAATTGGGTTGTTTTCCTATTGTTCAGTTTTAAGAGTTTTTTTTTTAAACTTTTAAAAAATGCGGATATGTCTTTTGCAAAAATATCTCCCGGTCTGTGGGTTGTCTTACTCTTTTGACCGTGTCTTTCACAGGGCAGAAGTGCTGAATTTAAATGGGACTTTGGGATTCTGTTTAGTCTATATATCAAATTAGGAAGAACATCTTGACAGTATTGTGTCTTCATATCTGTGAACATAGAATATCTCCATTTATTTAGTTCTTTGATTTCTTCAGAATTTTGTGGTTTTCCTCATATATAATTTGTAAATATTTAGTTAGATTTATTCCTCTTTCTCTCTCTTTTTTTTTTTTTTGGTGTAAATGGTGTATTTTTAATTCTGAATTCCATTTGTTCATTGCCAGTGTATAAGAAAGTGACTAACTTCAGATCTTTTAAGTATTCGCTTATTTGTGATTTAAATAAGTTTTAAGGCTGGGTGCAGTGTCTCACACCAGACCCAGCACTTTGAGAGGCCAGTGTGGGTAGATTATACAGTAGACCAGCCTGGGCAACATGGTGGAACATCATCTTTTTTTTTTTTTTTTTTTTTTGAGACGGAGTCTCGCTCTGTTGCTCAGGCTGGAGTGCAGTGGCTGGATCTCCGCACATTGTAAGCTCCGCCTCCCAGGTTCAAGCCATTGTCCTGCCTCAGCCTCCCAAGTAGCTGGGACTACAGGTGCCCGCCACAACTGCCGGCTAATTTATTGTATTTTTTAGTAGAGACGGGGTTTCACTGTGTTAGCCAGGATGGTCTCAATCTCCTGACCTCGTGATCTGCCTGCCTGGGCCTCCCAGAGTGCTGGGATGACAGGCGTGAGCCACCGCACCTGGCCGGAACATCATCTTTATTAAAAAATACAAGGATTAATGTAGTTAATTCTCATTTAATCCCTTCTTAGGCCAGGCGCGGTGGCTCACGCCTGTAATCCTAGCACTTTGGGAGACTAAGGGAGGCCGATTACCTGAGCTCAGGAGTTTGAGACCAGCCTGGGCAACACAGTGAACCTCCGTCTCTACTAAAATACAAAAAAAATTTGCCGGGCATAGTGGCGTGCTCCTGTAGTCCTAGCTAGTCAGGAGGCCTAGGCAGGAGAATTGCTTGAACCCGGGAGGCGGAGGTTGCAGTAAGCCAAGATTACACCAGCCTGGGCGACAGAGCGAGACTCTGTCTGAGAAAAAGGTATATATATATATATATATATATATATATACAAAAAAATTAGCCAGGTGTGGTAGTGTGCAACTGTGGTCCCAGCTACCCAAGAGGCTGAGGTGGGAGCATTACTTTACTTTAGCCCAGGAAGTGGAGGTTACAGTGAGCTGAGATCGCACCACTGTACTCCAGCCTGGGTGATAGAGTGAGACCCTCTCTCAAAAGAAAAAAAATTGTCTGGGTACGGTAGCTTACGCCTATAATCCCAACACTTTGGGAGGCCAGGGCAGGCAGATCATGAGGTCAAGAGATGGAGACCATTCTGGCCAACATGGTGAAACCCCATCTGTACTAAAAATACAAAAAATGAGCTGGGTGTGGTGGTATGTGCCAGTAGTCCCTGCTGCTCGGGAGGCTGAGGCAGGAGAATTTGTTGAACCCGGGAGGCAGTGGTTGCAGTGAGCTGAGATCATGCCACTGCACTCTAGCCTAGCAACAGAGCGAGACTCCATCTCAAAAAAAAAAAAAAAAAAGTCAGCCAAGCAGGAGGATTACTTGGACTCAGGAGTTTGAAAGCACCCTGAGCAAGATGGCAAGGCCCCAGAGTGAGACCCTATCTCTTTAAAAACAAACAAACAAAAAAAAACTGCATTTCCTCCTCCTTAAATTTTTTTTTTTGTAGTTATTCATTATTAGGCTCCTTGTAGTTTAGTTTTCCTTTACTGAGCTTTTCTAAATTTTTTGTTCTTTTCTTGCTTCTATCATTTTTTAAATATCTTTCACCTCATTTTGAAATACTAGGTAATAGTTTTTTGGGCATGTTTGGAGTATGCTTTTATAGCAACTTATTAAAATAATTTTTTTGGGATTTGACTTCAGTACTTTTTCTGTTCTTTTTTTTTTTTTTTTTTTTTTTTTTTTTTTTTTTTTTTTTTTTTTTTTTTTTTTTGAGACGGAGTCTTGTTCTGTCACTCAGGCTGGAGTGCAGTGGTGTGATCTCGGCTTACTGCAAGCTCTGCCTCCCAGGTTCACGCCATTCTCCTACCTCAGCCTCCCGAGTAGCTGGGACTACAGGCACCCGCCACCACACCCGGCTAATTTTTTGTATTTTTAGTAGAGACAGGGCTTCACCGTGTTAGCCAGGATGGTCTCCATCTCCTGACCTCATGATCCGCCCGCCTCGGCCTCCCAAAGTGCTGGGATTACAGGCGTGAGCCACCGCGCCCAGCCTGTTCATTTTCATTTGAATTCAGTTTTTCTAAACTTAGAAGATGTGACTCAGGGTAGTTGTACTAATGTCTGTGCTCCCTTTTCTGTAGTTTTCAGAGTGTTCACAACTGTGGGAACTTGCTTTCTGAGACTTTCTGGTTCTGTTCCTCTCTCTCATTTTTATCTTTTTCCTTCATCTTTTTTATTCCTATCCTACTAATTTTAATTCCATTTTTGGAGTTTTTTCTCAGTGTGGGGCCTTGACTGGTCAGTTCCGAGGGTCCCTGGGGCAGAGACTGTTGGACGCTTCCATTTTAGACTTACTGTGGACACCCTGTACTCACTTGTCACTCATTGGGACTATATCCCCCTTGGTTGTAGTGATGTTCTGAAACTGGTGCTTTCCAGTGTATACCAGTGGGTTTCCCTTTTTTTAGTTCCATTAAACACATTTACATTTAATGCAGTTATTGATATGATTAGGGTCAAATAAGTAATATTATACCATTTCACTCATAAAAGTCTTACAACAATATACAGGCAGTCTCTGGCTCACGATGGTTCGCCTTTTGATAGTATGAAAGTGTCATGCATTCAGTAGAGACCGTAATTGGAGTACCCATATGACCATTCTATTTTTCACTTTCACTACAGTATTCAGTCATTACATGAGATATTCAACACTTGATTAAAAATAGGCTTAGTGTTAGATGATTCTGCCCAAATGTAGGCTAATGTAAATATTCTGAGCACATTTAAGGTAGATTAGGTTGAGTTATGATGTTTGGTAGGTTAAGTATATTAAATACATTTTCGACATTTTAAACTTACAATGTTTTTATTGGACCCTAACCCCATTGTAAGTTGAGGCGCACCTGTATTTCTGTTTCTCCTCTCCTGGCCTCTATGCTATTGTAGTCATGTATGTTATTTCTCCATATGGTGTAAGTCTCAAAATACATTGTTATTTTACTTTAAACACTCAAGTAATAGGAAAATTGGTTAGTATTTTTCCGTATACTTAGCATTTCCAATGTTTTTCATTTCTTTCTAGTGCAAGTTTCTGTAATTTTCCTTCTGACAAAAAGACGTAATGGGGTCTGCCAGTGATTTTTTTGTTTTTGTTTATTTTTTGTATTTTAGGTTTTATGTCTGGAAAAGCCTTTCTGTTGACCTATTTTTGAAAGAGGTTTTTGCTGAGCATAGAAATCTAGATTGACAGTTCATATGTTTCGGTACTTTATTTTCTTTCTTCTTTTTAAATTAAATTAAGAATTTTTTTTTTTTTTAAGATGGAGTCTTACTCTCTTGCCCAGGCTGGAGTGCAATGGCACAATCTCACCTCACTGCAACCTCCGCCTCCCTGGTTGAAGTGATTCTCCTGCCTCAGCCTCCTGAGTAGCTGGGATTACAGGTGCGCACCACCACATCTGGCTAATTTTTTTATTTTTAGTAGACACGGGGTTTCACCATGTTGGCCAGGCTGGCCTCGAACTCCTGACCTCGTGATCCACCCGCCACGGCCTCCCGAAGTGCTGGATTACAGGCATGAACCACCACAACTGGCCAAGAAATTTTTTTTTTTTTTTTTTTTTTTTTTTTGAGACAGAGTTTCGCTCTGTTGCCCAGGCTAGAGTGCAGTGGTGCAATCTTGGCTCACTGCAAGCTCCGCCTCCCGGATTCACAGCATTTTCCTGCCTCAGCCTCCCGAGTAGCTGGGACTAACAGGCACCTGCCATCACGCCTGGCTAATTTTTTGTATTTTTAGTGAAGACGGGGTTTCACCTTGTTAGCCAGGATGGTCTCGATCTCCTGACCTCGTGATCCACCCACCTCAGCCTCTCAAAGTGCTGGGATTACAGGCGTGAGCCACCATGCCCGGCCAGAGAAATTTTTTTTTTTTTTGGTATTTTTTTGTTTTTGAGATGGAGTCTTGCTCTGTCCCCCAGGCTGAAGTGTAGTGGCACTATCCGGCCAGAGAAATTTTTTTAGCAGACGGGGTCTCGCTCTGTTGCCCAGGCTACAGTGCCCCCTGGCTGTTTACAGGCACTATTGTGATACACTGCAGCCTCAAACTCCTGGCCTCAAGCAATCCTTCTGCCTTCCTAGTAGCTGTGACGATTTGGAAGGCGTATGTCATGGTGAGTTCTTCCGTGTTGCTCTGTGGCCTTCCAGCGTGCATTGTTTCTGAGAAAAGGTCATTCTTATCCTTGTTTCTTTTATGTATGCCTGTTTTCTGTGGCTGCCTTAAGAGTCTCTCGCCATTACTCTTTTAAGCAGTGTGATAATGATGTGTCTTCGTGTAGTTTTCTTTTGTTCTTTTATTTCTCTTGTGCTGCTTAGGTTTTGCTGAGGTTTTGCTGAGCTCGTCGGCTCTGGGTTTCTGGTTTGGGCTACCAATTTTTTTTTTTTTTTGAGACAGGGTCTCGCTCTGTCGCCCAGGCTGGAGTGCAGTGGTGCAATCTCGGCTCACCGCAAGCTCTGCCTCCTGGGTTCACACCATCCTCCTGCATCAGCCTCCCGAGTAGCTGGGACTACAGGCCCGCGCCACCACACCCAGCTAATTTTTTTATTTTTAGTAGAGACAGGATTTCACCATGTTGACCAGGCTTGTCTCGAACTCCTGACCTCAAATGATCCACCCACCTTGGCCTACCACAGTGCTGGGATTACAGGCGTGAGCCACTGCACCCGGCCGCTTGTTAGTTTTTTTCTATATCTGCAAATGCATAGTTATTTTGATTTCCTGGTAGGTATACTAATTACACCTAGTTCTTTTAGTGTTTGCTAATCACCCACGTGATTTCAGAACACATAAATTGATTTCTCTTGTCTCTTAGCATTTAGCAATAAAGGATCCTGGGTATTTTATAATGAAATCACTTATCAAAACAGGGCTCTTAACATAGGTCAGGATAATCCCAGCCTTCCTCAAGTCACTAAGCTGCTTAAAAGTAAATGCAAGTTTTTGGGTACTTATGAGTATGTACAATTTTGTGGGGAAGAAGTAGATAGATATGAGATTATCAAAAGGTGACTTCCTTTTGTTCATTGACCTCTTCCTGAAAATTAGGATCCTTAATTTCTTGTATTGCGTAGTTCAATGGTAGAGATATATCTTTCTCTAGTACATTATGTTCTTTTACTTCTGTTACTAATCTTTTAAACTCTGAATTTTTTTAAATTTATTTATTTATTTATTTATTTTTGAGACGGAGTCTCACTCTGCCGCCCAGGTTGGAGTGCAGTGGCACGGTCTCTGGTCACTGCAAGCTCTGCCTCCTGGGTTCACACCATTCTCCTGCCTCAGCCTCCCTAGTAGCTGGGACTACAGGTGCCTACCAGCACTCCTGGCTAAATTTTTTGTGATTTTAATAGAGACGGGGTTTCATCGTGTTAGCCAGGATGGTCTCGATCTCCTGACCTCGTGGTACACCCACCTCGGCCTCCCAAAGTGCTGTGATAACAGGCGTGAGCCAGTGCACCCGGCCTGCACTCTGATTTTTTAAACAAAAATGAAGTACCATGTTTTGAAGTTTGCTTTTTTTGCTTCATTTGTTGTGAACATAGTTCCACATCAGTGTATGTAACTATTTCATTCTAAAAGAGAATATGGCTAAGGAATGTTACATGAATGAAACGTAATTCAGTATGCTCGATTCATGATCGTTTATATTTCTAATTTTCCCCAACAATATATGTCTTAGCATACCTGAACAAGTGTTTTCATAAGGTAAATCACAAATTGTGGAATTGATGGGGCAAAGACGACTCAGCTTTAAAATTTTAGTAGATATTACCAGATTGGCTTCAAAATAGTTGCATGTTTCCCAAAATGAAAGAATGTGTCTGTTTCCCCCTTCTTGTCAATATTGGATATTAGTCTTTTTTATTTTGCTATCGTAAACATTTTTTTATTACTGAGTTTGAAGATTTATTTTTAATATGACTTTTTTTTTTTGAGAGGGAGTCTTGCTCTGTTGCCCAGGCTGGAGTGCAGTGGCACGATCTCAGCTCACTGCAAGCTCCACCTCCCAGGTTCACGCCATTCTCCTGCTTCAGCCTCTCAAGTAGCTGGGACTACAGGCGCCCGCCACCACGCCTGGCTAATTTTTTTGTATTTTTAGTAGAGATGGGGTTTCACTGTGTTAGCCAGGATGGTCTCGATCTCCTGACCTCGTGATCCACCCGCCTCGACCTCCCAAAGTGCTGGGATTACAGGCGTGAGCCACCGCTCCTGGCCATGACTTTGTTTTTTAAGTGACCTATTCTTATCCATTGTTCATTTTCCTGTTGATTTCTTTGTTTTCTTTTCTCTCATTATAAAACTCACAGGAAATCATGAGGGCAGGCACATGCTATTATTTACCATTCTATCCCCATACCAGCATGGTGGATACTGAAAATTGACTGAATAATGGTTAGCTTCCCATATAAGTTGGTGTCTTCACCATATAGAAAGAAGTTTTACATTTTAATGAATTCAAACCTGACAACTGTTTTCATATTTGAATTCTAGTGTTTGAGTTATGCTGATAACTATTCTGTTTCATTTCTTTCCTGGTTTTTTGGTACTTAGAAATTTATTCCAGAATCGTGTGTGTGTATGGTAGGCATCCGAGTTCTCCTTGTCTTCCTGCCTCTACCTCATATATGATTTATTCCTTTACTTGGCTTTTTTTCCTTTCCCTTATTCCCAGACTTTGTGGTTTTCTTTCTGGCTACCTTCTACCTTCTTGAATTGTCAGCTTATTTTTCTGGCAGATGGAATTATGATCACCCTGTATGGGAAAAGGAGCTATACAAATTGGCAGGCTTTGAAAATGAACCGCCATAAATCCGTAGAAGTTGTATGTCTCCATTCAGGAGCTCTGTTTGCTTCTTTAGGCATACCCTTCCCCTCTCTTGAGTGAAGAGGGCAAAGACACAGAAAACTTAGTAGGGAACCAGGCGCAGTGGCTCACGCCTGTAGTTCCAGCTACTTGGGAAGCTGAAGCAGGAGGATCACGTGAGCCTAGGAGTTAAAGGCTACTGTGAGCTATGAGCAAGCACACCACTGCACTCCAGCCTGGGTGACAGAATGAGACCCTGTCTCAAAAAAACAACAAATTGTTTTATATTAAATGCCTTATTCATATTGAATATCAGCTGTGTGTTTTCAGTTTTATGAATGGAAAATTAAGTAAATAAAATTTTGTTCTACAAATAGCTTGTGGTATGGTGTCTGTTCTGTTTATAGCAAAGTAAGGGAAATACCTTCTTAGATTAAGATAGATTTTATTATACAGTTTTACTGAAGTTTAGTTGACATTCAAAATTGGCGTGTATAAAGTGAATAATGTGTATATTTTGACTGTGTACACCCGTGAAACCATCACCACAATCAAGAATGATCATATTCATCGATCCTGAAAGTTTGTGATCCTTCCTTCCCCACCTCTCCTGTTTCTCCATTCCTTCCCCTATTTCTAAGCAACCGCTGTTCTGCTTTCTATAACCATAGATTAGTATGCATTTTGTGGAATTTTTGTATAAATGATGTTATACAGTATGTACCCTTTTTTCTTTTTTTCATGAAAATGGACACCTTGCATTTTTTTTGTTGTTTTTGGTGATTTTGGTCTGCTCTTATCCTCTATACTTATCCTGTAGTTCATCCATAGTGTTTTGTTGGTTTTTAGTAGTTCATTCTTTTTTATTACTGAGTAGTAGTCCATTGTATGGCTACGCCAGCATTTGTTTATTTGTTCTCCTGTTGAACACACTTGGGTTGTTTCCAATATTTGACTATTACAAATAAAGCTGCCGTGAACATTCCCCTTTGTGTGGGCATAACTTTTATTTCCTAAAAAATGGAATTGATCATATGGTAAGTGTATGTTTAACTTTTTAAAAAACTGAATCTGGTTTGCAAAGATGTCTTGTTTCATATTCCTACTAGATGTCTTTGATCCATGCCCTCACCAACACAAGTCTTAAATTTAGCCATTCTTCTGGGTATGTAGTGCTATCTCAGAGTGGTTTAAATTTGCATTTCCCTAATGACTCCCAATTTTGAGCATCTTTTCATGTGATTATTTGCCATCTGTTTATATCTTCTTTGGTGAAGTGTCTGTTAGATCTTTCACTCGGTTTGAAAATTATGTTTTATTTCTTTCTCTCTCTTTTTTTTTAGACAGAGTCTTGCTTGGCTAATTTTGTATTTTTAGTAGAGATGGGGGTTTCACCATGTTGGCCAGGATGGTCTCGATGTCCTGACCTCATGATCCACCCGCCTCGGCCTCCCAAAGTGCTGGGATTACAGGCATGAGCCACCGCACCCAGCCCAACCATTTGATTTTAATGTGGTTATTTCTATGGTTAAATTTAAAATTCACCATCTTGCTATTTTTTTATTCATATCATTTATTCTTTGTTCTATTTTTTCTTCACTCTCTTGTTTTGAAATAATAAAGCTTCTTCTATTTTTTCTTCACTGTCTTGTTTTGAAATAATAGAGCTTTTTTTAAATCATTCCATTTTACCTCCTTTGTTTGACTTTTAGCGATAACTCTTCGATTTATTAGTTAGGGTTTATGGTGTCTTATACTTACCACAGTGTGCTGTCAAGTACTAGTACACCTCTTTACATGCAGATAATAGCCCAACAGTACACTTTTGTTTCCTCCTCCCATCCATTATTTCTTTGTGATGTGTCACTTCTGCATATGTCATAACACCCACGTTATCTTATTTCTAATATTGCTTTAAGTAGTCAATTACATTTTAAATAGTTGTAGAGAAAATAATCTCATACATACCCACGTATTCACTATTTCTGGTGTTCGTTTCTGTTAATGTAGATTTCCATCTGGTATTTTATTTCTTCTGCTTAAAGAATTTTCTCTAATTTCCTATCAGGTAGATCAACTGGCAATGAATCATTTCACCTTTTCTATACAGGTTGAGTATTGCTTAACTAGAATATCCCTTGGGATCAAAAGTGATTTGGATTTCAGATTTTTTTATTTTTTATTTTTGAATGCTTACATATATGTATGTGATGAGATATCTTGGGGTTGGAACCCAAGTCTAAAACTTGAAATTCATTTATGGTTCATACATACTTTATGCAAATAGCCTGAAGGTAACTTTATTCAATGTTTTAAATTTTGTACGTGAAACCAAGTTTATGTACATTGAACCATCAGAAAGCAAGGAAGTCACTATTTCATGTCATTGTTCAGAAAGTTGCAGGTTTTGGAGCATTTTGGATTAGGGTTGCTCAAGCTTTGTCAGAAGTTAATTTGCCTTCATTTTTGGAAGCTATTTTTGGTAATTTGCTAGGTTGACAGGATTTTTTTTTTCCTTACAGTAAAGTTTTTACTCCTGGCCAGGCGCTGTGCCTCACGCCTGTATTCCCAGCACTTTGGGAGGCCACAGTGGGCAAATCACCTGAGGTCAGGTGCTCGAGACCAGCCTGGCCAACATGGTGAAACCCCATCTCTACTAAAAATATGAAACTTAGCTGGGCGTGGTGGCGGGCGCCTGTAATCCCAGCTACCCAGGAGGCTGAGGCAGGAGAATCGCTTGAACCTGGGAGGCAGAGGCTGCACTGAGCTGAGATCGCGCCACTGCATTCCAGCCTGGGCAACAGAGCGAGACTCCATGAAAAAAAAGAGAAAAGAAAAGAAAATTGTGCTCCTCTGTCAGTCTCTCTTATTGTTTACAGCTGGGAGTCTGCTGCATTTTATCTTTGCTCCTCCCATATGAAATGTTTTTCCCCTCTGGTGGCTTTTTAGATTTTCTCTTTTAAGCCATTTGGTTAAGATGTACATGTAATTTTCTTTTATGAAATTTTCATACGTTTGAGTTCATGGAGTTGTTTGTTTGTTTGTTTGTTTTGAACTGGAGTCTCACTCTGTCGCCCAGACTGGAGTGCAGTGGCACCAGCTCAGCCCACTGCAACCGCCACCTCCCGGGTTCAAGCGGTTCTCCTGCCTCAGCCTCCCTAGAAGCTGGGATTACAGGCGCCCACCAGCATACCTGGCTAATTTTTGTATTTTTAGCAGAGATGGGGTTTCACCGTGTTGGCCAGGCTGGTCTTGAACTCCTGACTTCAGGTGATCTGCCCGCCTCAGCTTCCCAAAGTGCTGGGATTACAGGCATGAGCCACCGCATCCTGCCCTCATTAAGCTTTTTGTATCTGTGAGTTTAGAGTTTTCATCAAACATAGACATTTTCTGCTGTTTTTTCTTGTGTAATACCTTGAGATACAATTCACACACTGTACAGCTCACCCATTTAAAGTGCCAGTTTAGTGGGTTTTGTATATTCACAGAGTTGTGCCACATTTGCCACAATCAGAACATTTTCATCATCCCAAAAACGAACGCTGTACCCATTTAGCAGTCCTTCCTCTGACATTTAGGAACGAAGTCTAGCCTCAGTTCTGTGTGAACTTGGGGGTTGCTGCCTCCACCATCCTTTCAGGTGTTTTTTTCCCTCTGGCTCAGGTAGTTTCTCACATGCATGTGTCGATCAATACCCTGTTGACAACTTGAGCCAGGGAGTGGGGGGCCCCATCAGATCTCCAGACTTCTCTCTGTTCTCTTCTCTTCTCTCTGATGTTCTGCCTCTTGATTTCTAATCACCTTGGCTTCCCTGGACTTTCTGTCTCTGGAACTCAGGGAGGATCACTGTCCTCTACCTGGGATTCCCCTCCTTGGGCTGCCTCCTGTAAGTGCTGTCCAAGGAGTAAGCTGAGACAGTTATAGGGTCTACCCTGTTTGTTTCCCACCCTTCAGGAATGACTCTCCTGCATTGGTTGGTGTCTCATCTTAGAAATTTGCTGATTCATGTATATTATCTGATACGATGGTTGTCACAGGTGGCATGGTAAATTTAGTTCCTGTTACTCTTATCTTGGTTGGAAGTCTCAAGGTCGCGTTTTCTTCAGCCAATAGAAAATTAATCAGTTCTGAAAGACTGGTATGTTTTTATTACATTTGTTTCATTCTCTCTCAGATTAGATCCTGAACCAGTAAGGAGATTATGGGGAACATTCTTAGATTGTAGAAACCATTGACAATTTATCAAGAAGTGTCAAAGTGCAGATTTACTGTTGCATTGAAAGGTTTTATCATTCTGTTCTTAGTCACTGAATCTTATGCCTACTACTATTTGATTATAAAGGTCTGACTTACTATCTGAAGCGTTTCTGGGCAAGTGTTTTTACTTGTTACCATATAATACAAAATGCTGCTTAGCCATGTGGTTCTTCATGCAGTTATCACTAGGGTACTCAGTTCTTAAAACTCAGCTAAGAGTACCTTGTGTTCCTTTTTGTTTTTAGGCAAAATTCTTGTTTTCTGGAGATATGAACAGCCTCTGAGATAGTAGAATTTGTGTTATTTTGCATAAGTCCAAACCAGTCATGACGTTCAGATATTGGATTTATCATTACTATAAATTAATCATATTTCCCTCTCATATCTGAGATCATTTTAAAGGATAAATTTGGCCGGGCACAGTGGCTCATGCCTGTAACCCCAGCACTTTTGGAGGCCAAGGCGGGCAGATCACAAGGTCAGGAGATCGAGACCATCCTTGTTAACACCGTGAAACCCCGTCTCTACTAAAAATAGAGAAAAATTAGCCGGGCATGGTGGCGGGTGCCTGTAATCCCAGCTACTTGGAGGCTGAGGCAGGAGAATGGCATGAACCCGGGAGGCGGAGCTTGCAGTGAGCCCAGATCACGCCACTGCACTCCAGCCTGGGCAACAGAGCGAGACTCCGTTTCAAAAAAAAAAAGGATAAATTATTTTTGTGCTCCTAAAAATAAAGATGCACTCTAAGTAGTATTGGTACATTAACTTTTTATTTTAACCTGCTAAGTGAGGAGCTTATAACTTAATCATAGCAATGAATCGTAGAATAGGTAAGATTTCCTGTTAACCCCTTCTCACAAGTTTTTGGATAATAATTTAAGTTACTCATAAAAACATCTAAATCTTACTGAAATCTACAGAACAAAATGTAGAGAAAACTATATAATCCGTTCCTGTATTTTTTTCTCTTACAGGAAAAGTAAGAAGCTTAAGCGCATCTTTGTGGTCACTAACTCACCTGACAGCTTTGCATTTGAGTGACAATTCCCTGTCCCGAATTCCTTCAGACATTGCCAAGCTTCACAATCTGGTGTATTTGGACCTGTCATCTAATAAAATTCGTAGCTTACCCGCAGAACTCGGAAACATGGTATCACTCAGGTATGCAGATTCAACTTAATACATACTAGCTATATGACCCCTAAAACAAAATATAGGCCGGGCGCAGTGGCTTATGCCTGTAATTCTAGCGTTTTGGGAGGCTGCGAGAGGATCATGAGGTCAGGAGATCGAGACCATTCTGGCCAACATGGTGAAACCCCATCTCTACTAAAAATACAAAAAATTAGCCAGGCGTGGTGGCGGGCACCTGTAGTCCCAGCTACTCGGGAGGCTGAGGCAGGAGAACAGTGTGAACCCGGGAGGTGGAGTGGCAGTGAGCCGAGATCACACCGCTGCACTCCAGCCTGGGTGACAGAGCGAGAGTCCATCTCAAAAAAAACAAAAACAAAAAAACATTTGTTGTGTTAGGAAACAAAACTGTTCATTTAATGGTATTTGAATAAAAGGAAACATAACTATATCCTTTATAACTTTATAGTTTTGTTTTTGGGAAAATTGAATGTCAGCTAATAATAAATTAAGTAGATCATTGGCTGAATTTTTTAATTACTGTATTTTGTGTAATAGACTTTATTTTTGAATGAGAAAGTTTGGACAGAGAGTGGGTAGACTGCAAGGTGCTTATGTTATCCCACATACTTCCTCATGACAAACAGGGCACCATACCATCCTTAACACAGGGTCCAGGAAACCATTGCCAGTTGGTGAAACCTTTTTGCCATCCCAGGGCTTGTATGTTTGATAGTAGTAAAGCCTGGACTTGAAGGAGCTATAATTATTAAATTTGGGGGCCTGTAGCATGAAATATATAGCATTTGGATTCACATGTGTAAGTTCAGGTTGGAATCTTAACTTTGCCATTTATGAGTTGTGTGATCTTGGACAACCTTCTTGACCCAGGATAAGGGATGTTTGAGATAATGGGTAAAAAAACACTAGTACCTTGCCTGGCATATACTGTGTTTTAAGAAATGGTAATTGCAGACTGCATGTGGTGGTTCATGTCTGTAATCCCAGTACTTTGAGTGGCTGAGGCGGGCTGATTGCTTGAGCCCAGGTGTTTCAGACCAGTCTGGTCAACATAGCGAGAACCTGGTCTCTACAAAAAAAAAAAAAAATCCCCAGATAATTAGCTGGGCTTCGTGGCATGCACCTGTAGTCCCTGCTACTTGGGAGGCTGAGGTGGAGGGATGGCTTGAGCCCAGGAGGTTGAGGTTGCAGTGAGCAGAGATCATGCCACTGCACTCCAGCCTGGGTGACAGAGCAAGACCCTGTCTCTACCCTCCTCCCCTCTAGAAAATAAGAAAGAAAAGAAATGGTCATTGCTATGTTTATTTTGATAGAGATGAGGGTCTCACTATGTTGCCCAGGCAGGTCTTAAACTCCTAGCCTCAAAAGATCCTCCCATCTTGGCCTCCCAGAGAATTGGGATTTCAGGCATGAGCCACTGTGGCTGGCCCATGATTATTATTATTATTTTACTTCTGTTTTATAAGGTAGATAAGATCTAACCAAGTTAATATAAAGCTAAATTCCATGTATTATGTTAATCCCAATGGAATATTTTGTACTATTTCATGTTAACTGACTTTTTGACATGGTTCCACTGGCTTTCCTGCTGCCTTCTGCCATTAGCCATGTAGTAAAAAGGAATAAGGACCTTTTGAAAGGTCTTTGCCTCTATTGCTCCTACTCCAGCCTTTTGACTTTTTTTTAGGTTTAATTGAGTTTGTTCTATGACTGTTTTTAGTCCTCTGAAACAAATTTACTTGAAGGACCTCCTTTTTCTTTTTCTTTTTTTTTTTTTGGAGACGGAATTTTACTCTTGTCGCCCAGACTGGAGTGCAATAGTGTGATCTCGGCTCACTGCAACCTCTGCCTCCGGGTTCAAGTGATTTTCCTGCCTCAGCCTTTCAAGTAGCTGGGATTACAAGCGTGTGCCACCATGCCCAGCTAATTTTTGTATTTGTAGTAGAGACAGGGTTTCACCATGTTGGCCAGGCTAGTCTCAAACTCCTGACCTCAAATGATCTGCCTGCCTCGGCCTCCCAAAGTGCTGGGATTACAGGCGTGAGCCACCGTGCCCAGCCCGAGGGACCTCCTTTTTTCTGTATATTGTATTTGGAAATAAACAGGAGCCAGATATCAGAACTTGCTCTTCTTGTTGAGTTTACAGCCACACAGACCTTCTGGCTTGCTCAGTAACCAAGATTCATTTAAATGTCAAAAACCAAAGATTATAGAAATAGATTTCTTGCACACTTAAAAAGTGACAAATAGGCTGGGCACGATGGCTCAAGCCTATAATCCCAGCACACTTTGGGAGGCCGAGGCGGGCGGATCACAAAGTCTGGAGATCGAGACCATCCTGGCTAACACGGTGAAACCCCGTCTCTACTAAAAATACAAAAAAAAAAATTAGCTGGGTGTGGTGGCAGGCACCTGTAGTCCCAGTTACTCGGGAGGCTGAGGCAGGAGAATGGCGTGAACCCGGGAGGCGGAGCTTGCAGTGAGCCGAGATCGCATCACTGCACTCCAGCCTGGGCAATGGAGCGAGACTCCGTCTCAAAAAAAAAAAAAAATTGAAAAATAAAACTGCATGCGTTACATTGCCACTGTGTCCGTATTGGGTCTCTGGTGGTTCTTTCCCCGCGTGTCCCCCCGGCTCACCCTTGAAGGTTCCTTTGATATTTATATCATGATTATCTCTGCAAAACAAATCATATTAAGAATAATCATGAACAGTTAATACAGCTGCTGTTATTTTTTAAATGCAACTTTAGTTGATAGCAATCATAAGCTTAATTATGCAGCTGTTACGAGCTCTTTTGAGTCGTTAACGAAATGATCATTTTAGTTCTCTTTTAAGAATTCACATGGTAGGCTGCTTTATCATTTCCACTTTCTTAAATGTGTAGTAGACCCCATGTGTACTAGACCAGTGATACTCAGTGTGGTCTGTGACCTGGTGCCAGTTTGCAAACTGTCTTGCCAGTCTGCAGTGAGATTAATACAGCAGTTGAGGAATTTTATATGTCTGTTAAATCTAATACTTTTTAAAAATTGGGTCTTACATTTTGTCCTTTTCCCCCATTATTTCATTTTCTCTAGTAATTTGTTTCTTGTATTCTCTGGCAGTTTTTTTTTTTAAACCACATGTTATTTAAGAAACGCAGTACTAGACATTGAAATATAACGTAACATTTTTTCATTCTTAGGTGCTTATGTTCCTAGAAACTATGTTGTTGATTTTAACTGTTAAAGGCTAACATATTTTTCTGACTTCCTGGAATTTTTACATCAACAGGGAGCTCCATTTAAATAACAACCTGTTACGAGTTCTACCTTTTGAGCTGGGAAAACTGTTTCAGTTGCAGACTTTAGGCCTGAAAGGTATGACTTCCATATTTGTACTTCTTATGGTTTGTGTATATGTCTTTGAATCTAAAGAAGCCAAGAAGCTTTCTGCTAGGGGATTCTTTTAAAGACTCATTTTCCCCCAGACTTCATCAGTTTCTTAGCTATATCGCAATGGTTTTATCTTCTCTGTTCAGCTGTAGACTATCTACTAGTCTTTGTTTTCTTTTTTTTTGCTCCGGACCCAGCCCTTCTTTTCTAGCCTCTGTTTTAATAAACCCTGTGTTCTGGTGATACATCCCTGAGGCTATGCTTTATTTCATCATGTTATAAACAGCTGTTTTTCTTAGATTCAAATCTCAAAAAACATGGAGCCTCTCATATAGTACAGAAAACAGGAAGTCGAAAATGTTGACCATTTGAACCTGCTGATGATCAAGATTTAAGCATATTTAAAAAAACTTGATTTATGAGGACTTGTGATTATAGGGCCATAATTGATCCAGCAAGAACTATTAGGAAATAAATATTTTTTAAGCCAACAATATTGAAAGTTATATTTTGACAGTATGTCAATGCCTATAAATTTTTTATCATGTTAAGCAGTTCTTCACCAGCCTTGGGTAGGTGTGTCTAGCCTACTGTACAGTTGCTTCTTCAAAAAAGTCACTAGATGAAGTCGTCAAGATTTGCACCCTTAGGCCGGGCACAGTGGCTCACACCTGTAATCACAAAACTTTGGGAGGCTGAGGTGGGTGGATATCTTGAGGCCAAGAGTTCAAGACCAGCATGAGCAACATGGCAAAACCCAATCTCTACCAAAAATACAAAAGTCAGCTTGGCATGGTGGTTCCCACCTGTAGTACCACCTACTTGGGAGGCTGAGGCATGAGACTTGCTTGAACCTGGGAAGCAGAGGTTGAAGTGAGGTGACATTGTGGCATTGCACTCCAGCCTGGGTGACAGAGCGAGACTCTGTCTTAAAAAAAAAAAAAAAAGGAATTGCACTCTTAGTTTCTTAAAAATACAGTTATATAAAAGGTTTTAGTCCTGTAAATATTTTATATATCATAAAAGAACAGTTTTTTTTAAATAAATAGAAATATATGTTTTAAAATGTACGGAAAGTCATATTCAACAGATATCAACATTGTAAATGGTTTGTAATTTTTTTTCTGTGTGGGCTGAACTAGCTAAGGCTTCTAAATATAAAGGCCAGTGAAATGCAAGATGAAGATGCCCTTTTCTGTTATATTTCCCAGTCTAGCTGTTTCTAAATTTGAAGAACAGAAAAGTACTGTGTGGCAAAGTGTCCATATACTGACTGCCAGAATTAACAGTGAATACTTTATCATTTTTGTGTATAATTTTTTTAATGCAAAAGAAATGGAACATTACAGAATGTTGAGACCCTCTTTGTTCTTCCAGTCTTCCTCATGGCGGAGGTATGTTTTTCCAATTCAAGGTTTTCCTAATCTTACACTATATATTTTACAAACTGTAATTTGTAATTCGTACTCACTAAGGCTTTTCACAAACTTTATTTGAAGTTAGGGTCACCAGTCACAAATTTGCTTTTTTTTTTTTTTGAGAGAGAGTCTCTTGTCGCCCAGGCTAGAGTGCAGTGGCATCATGATATCGGCTCACTGCAGCCTCCTTCTCCCTGGTTGAAGCAATTCTTCTGCTTCAGCCTCCCGAGTAGCTGAGATTACAGGTACCCACCACCATGCCCAGCTAATTTTTTGTGTTTTTAGCAGAGACGAGATTTCACCTGTTGGCTAGGCTGGTCTCAAACTCCTGACCTCAAGTCATTTGCCCTCCTTGGCCTCCCAAATTGCTGGGGTTACAGGCGTGAGCCACTGCACCAGGCCATAAATTTTCATACTGATTTAATGTACAGGAAAGCCTCTAAGTGTAAATGCCTGCAGCAGTAGGGCAGTTCTTTATGACTCCTTCATTTTTGATGATCCCTTGCTTTTCCATTTCAGATGCTTTACTTTATCACCTCTAGACATCTGTGTTTATTTCTTGGAAGTGTAGTTTCAAAGAGACATTTGCTTATCTCACATATCCTGCTGGACAGCATTACACATCTGTAATAGCAGTCTTCTTTTACTGGTTTTACTTCCTTTGGACAAATCCTTTTATTTTTTCTGAGCTTTTGCAGTTTACACTTTAATTCTAATGTTGTGTCGGAACATTGGGTGGAATGATCCGTTTGGGGGTAGAGCTGCTGCTTTACTTCTTAAAGCAATTGTATCATCTTTGCCCTCTGAAAACTATCATTGATTTCTCCCGGCATCCGCTTGGAAGAGAGAAAATAATATCACTTAGTTCAGAGTCATGTTTGTTTGCTATTATACGTCATACATTCTTGCAGAACCAAAGTATTTCTGCCTCATGAATCAGTTCATACCATTTTCTTTGAAGTTGTTGCAGAATGGCTGGCAGGCTTCACTTTTTCCCCCCACATTTTTAAATACTCTTCAAAATTGTGCCGCAGTACTACAGTTAAAGGCAGGACTGTGACCTTAGGTGCCCATTCACTTTTTTTCCTTAAACTGTTTATTTTGAGATACTTGTAGATTCACATGCACTTACAAGAAATAATACAGAACAATCCTATCCCCTTTACCCAACTCCCTCCAATAGTAGCATCTTTCAAAACTATAGTTTCACGTTATCGTACATAGAACAGTCAAGACACAGAATATTTTGTGAAATAAGCCAGACACAGACAAATACAACATGATCTCATTTATGTGTGAAGTCTTTAAAAGTCAAACTCATAGAAGTAGAGTGTAGAATGGTTGTTCCCAGAGGCTTGGGGACGGGGGACAGAGTGGAAAGGAGAGGTGTTGGTCAGAGGGTGCGCAGTTTCATTTACACAGGGGGAATAGGTCTGGTGATCTGTTGCATAGCATAGTAACTATAGTTAATAATAATGTGTATTTTTTAACAGCTAAAAGAATGGATATTAAATGTTTTCACCACAAATAAGTATTCGAGGTGGTGGATATGTTGATTAGCCTGATTTGATCATTCCACAATGCATAACTGTGTGGAAACATCACATTGTTCCCCATAAACATACACAATTATATGTCCATTTAGAAAAGGATGTAGAACATCTCTATCACCAGAAGATCCTTTTGTTACACTCTTATAGCCACACCTACTTTGTTCCTGCCCCAGCTCACTGCTTCTAAGTTTTGCTATTTTAAGAATGCTACCATCCCGGGCGCAGTGGCTCACGCCTATAATCCCAGTACTTTGGGAGGCTGAGGCAGGCAGATCACGAGGTCAGGGGATCGAGACCATCCTGGCTAACATGGTGAAACCCCGTCACTACTAAAAATACAAAAACAAAATTAGCCAGGCATGGTGGCAGGTGCCTGTAGTCCCAGCTACTCGGGAGACTGAGGTGGGAGAATAGCGTGAACCTGGGAGGTGGAGGTTGCAGTGAGCCGAGATCGTGCCACTGCACTCCAGCCTGGGCAACAGAGCGAGACTCCGTCTCAAAAAAAAAAAAAAAGAATGCTACTGAATGGAATCATACTGTATGCGGTCTTTTGAGATGGGCTTTTCCACTCAGGTTAATTATTTGGATATTTGTCCTGGTTGCATGTATTGATAGTTTGTTCCTTTAAATAGACAAAAGTAGTAGTCTATGATATAAATGTCTCGTGGTTAGTTTAACCATTTACCTGCTGAAGGAAATCTGGGTGGCTTCTAATTTGGGGCTGTTACAAATAAAGTTGCTGTGAACATTCAGTGTGCAGGTTATTGTGTGAATATAGTTATTCATTTCTCTAGGATAAATGTCCAGGAGTGCAGTTACTGGGTCATTTGAGGGTTGTATATTTAATTTTTTAAGAAATTGCTAAGTGGTTTTCTGTAGTGTAAGTACTGCTTTACATTGTAAAGTGATTCACTTTCTCTGCATCCTCACCAGCATTTGGTGTTGTGACTGTTTTTATGTTAGCCATTCTGGTAGATGTGTAGTCATTTCATGGTTTTGATTTACATTTCCCCAATAAAGATACCCAACATCTTTGCAGGTGCTTATTTGTCATCTGTAATGTTTTTCTTCTGTGACATTTCTTCTTGTCATTGTCCATGTTCTAATTAGATTATTTGCTTTTTTACTGGGAGTCCTTTATATATTCTAGGTACGAGTCGTTGGTGGAATATGTGGTTTACACATATTTCTCTCAGTATGTAGCTTTTTACAAGGTCATTGCACAGCAAAAGTTTTTAATTTTAATGAAGCCCAGTTTATCAGTTTTTTCTTCTGTGGATCCTGATTCTTGTTTCAAGTCTAAGAACTCTTTGAATAGCTCTAAGTCCCAAAGATTTTCCTCTTAGGTTTTCTTTTAAAAGTTTTATGGTCTTATGTTACATTTAAGTCTATGATCCATTTTGACTTACGATTGAGTTAAAAGATGTGAGGATTAGCTCAAGGTTCTTTTTGTGTGTGTGTGGCCTGTCGATGTCCAGTTGCTCCAGCAGCATTATTGAAAGATGATCTTACCTTCATTGAATTGCTTTTGCATCTTTGGCAAAAATCAGTTGAGCATATCTGTGTGAATCTGTTTCTGGATTTTTTATTCTGTTTCATTGATCTATGTGTCCATCCTTCCGCCAACATCTGCAAAACCAGTTCTGAGGCCCCAGGAAGGAATCGGCTCTTTGAGCCTCAGAAGGGTACAGCTGTGCGTGGCCACAGGGAACACACTCCAGGCTACTGGGGTCTAGTGATGAGGCACTTTTGTCAGGACGTGGTCCACAGAGAGGAGAAAAGAAATGTTCTTTAGTCTCAGAGGCCAAGACAGACGCATGGGAGGAGAGGGAGATGGCAAGGACCTGGATAACTGGAGGCGTGATGAATGGAGAGTCTGGTGCAGGATCCATGCCACGGGAGGAGGCCCCTGTGGAGAGTGAGACCTTGGGCGGTTAGGGCTGGCCGGACTGGGCCCCCTGCTCCTCACAGTGTGACCTAAAGCCGCGGCCTGGTATCTAGTGCTTTCCAGCGTAGCCCAGGAAGGCGCGCCCTCCTTCGGCAGAAACACCTTAAAAAAAAAAACAAAAAACCTGCTATTGCTTTTTAGACAGAAACAATATGGAGACTTTTATTTCATTGAGTTCTGCTCTTTAGTATTTCCTTCCTTCCTTCTTGTGTTTGCTTTTTTTTTTTCCTAGCTTCTTGAGGCGATAGCTTAGATTATTGAATTGAGGCTTCTGTCTTTATTGAGACTTTTGTCTTCATGCATTTAATGTAGAAATTTTCCTCCCAACCCTGCTTTAGAAGCTATGTCCAGCAACAAATTTTGATATTTGTATTTTTATTTTCACTAGCTCAGTATATTTTATTTGTTTGTTTATTATTTTGGGACGAGGTCTGGCTGTGTTACCCAGGTTGGCTTCCGACTCTTGAGGCCCAAGCAATCCCCCCACCTCAGCCTCTGAAGCAGGTGGGACTACAAGCACTTTACCCCCGGCTTGGTTCTCGATTTTTAATATGATTTCAGTGTGGTCAG
Organism: Homo sapiens; assembly: GCF_000001405.40. Classification (NCBI taxonomy): domain Eukaryota; kingdom Metazoa; phylum Chordata; class Mammalia; order Primates; family Hominidae; genus Homo; species Homo sapiens. Next base: position 180,558,976 of record NC_000005.10, read on the forward strand.
AAAGTGAACGTTCTGTGTGATTTCAATTCTTTTCCATTTGTTGAAGTTTGTTTGATGGCCTAGGATATGGTCCATCCTGGCATATGTTTCTTGGGTACTGGAAAAGAATGTGTTTTCTGTTTTTGGGTAGAATGTTCTATAAATATCTATTAGCTCCTGTATATTAACTTAATGTCTGTTAGGTCGATGGTAGTGAGGTTTTTGTCGTGTTCTGTCAGTTGTGGAGAGAGAAGTGTTAAAGTCTCCAACAATAATTGTAGACTCTGTTTTCCTTTTAGTTCTCTCAGTTTTTGCATAAAATATTTTGTGCTTCTCTTGTTTGGAAGCACACTTAGAATTGCTGTGTCTTCTTGAGGGATTGAGCCTTTATTATTACATAATGTTATTTTCTATCTCTGGCAATTTTATTTCCTCTGATGTCCACTTTATCTGATATTAATATAACCACTCCTGCTTTCCTTTGATCAACTTTTGCATTATATATCTCTTGCCATTCCTTTCTTGCCTCTATTATTACATCTGAAGTGAGTTTCTGTGGACAGTATATAGTTGGGTCATATTTTTAAATCCATTCTACCAGTCTTTTAATTGGTATATTTAGACCATTTACATTTAAAGTTAATTAGTAAGTTAGGGTGTAAGTCGTAAGTCTGCCATTTTATTTTTTTGTTTTCTGTTTCTTCATCTTTTGTCTTTTTCTCTTTGCTTCTGCCTGCCTATGGGTTACTGAAACATTTTTTAGATTCCATTTTGATTTTTCTGTAGTGGTTTGAGTGTGTCTGTTTGTATAGATGTTTCATGGTTCCTCTGGGTATCACACTAGATGTATAACTTACCACAGTCTATTGGGGGTTATTTTACCAGTTCAAGGGAAATATCAAACCTTAGCTCTCTTTACATCCTTTTATTCACTGCCATTGATAACAGTTCAGAATATTTTCTTTACATAAATTTAGAATCACATTAGTTTTATGATTTTTTTTTTTTTTTTGAGACAGAGTCTCGCTCTGTTGCCCATGCTAGAGTGCAGTGGCGCGATCTCGGCTCACTGCAAGTTCCGCCTCCTGGGTTCAAACGATTCTCCTACCTTGCCTTCCAAGTAGCTGGGATTACAGGCACCCACCACCATGCCCGGCTAATTTTTGAATTTTAATAGAGACGAGGTTTCACCATGTTGGTCAGGCTGGTCTTGAACTCCTGACCTCATGATCCACCCACTTCGCCCTCCCAAAGTGCTGGGATTACAGGTGTGAGCCACCGTATTGGGCCAAAATTTTTTAAACTGTCAAACGTGATTTAGAAAACTTAAGGAAATCTCGTATTTGCCCATATTTTTTTGTTTACCTATATTGTTTTCTTCTTCCAAAGTCCTTCTTTTATCATTTCCTTTGTATTTAGAGAACTTTTTCTAGTGGTTCCCTTTGGGTAGATCTGCTGGCAGCAGATTCTGTTAGTTTTTTGTCCTCTGAGATTGTCTTTATTTCTCCTTCATTCCTGAAGGATGTTTTCACTGGATATAAGAATCTGGGTTTGACAGTTCTTTCGACACCTGAAAAATATTTTGCTGCTTCCTTCTGGCTTCCATGGCTTATCATGACAAATCTTTCGTCATTCCAATTTGTTTTTCTCCTGCAGGTAAGGTGTCATTTTTCTCCGGCTGCTTTCAAGATGTTTTTTCTTTGTCTTTAGTTTTCAGAAGTTTAATTATGATGTGTCTTGCTGTGGATTCCTTTGGGTTTTTCTTGTGTAGGGGTTCACTGTGCTTCTTGAATCTGTTGGTTTATATTTATTGCCATATTGTGAGAATCTTCAGCCATTATTGCTTTGAGTACTTTTTCAGCCCTGTCCTCCGTGTCCTCAGCGTCCAAGGCTCTGATGACATGAATGTTAGATCTTTTGTTATAGTCCCACAAGCCCCAGAGACTTTGTTCTTTTTGTTGTTGTTGGTGGTGGTGGTGGTGTTGGTCTGTGTTCTTATCTATCTATCAATCAATCAGTCAATCAAGAGACGAGGTCTCGGGCTGGAGTGCAGTGGCACGATCTTGGCTCACTGCAGCCTTGACCTCCCAGGCTCAAGCAGCTCTCCTACCTCAGCCTCCCAAGTAGCTGGGACCACAGGCATGTGCCACCATGCCTGGCTAGTTTTGTTTGTTTGTTTGTAGAGACGAGATTTTGCCATGTTAACAAAGCTGGTCTCGAACTCCTGGCCTCAAGTGATCCTCCTGCTTCAGCCTCCAAAGTGCTGGGATTATAGGCATGAGCCACTGTGCCTAGCCTTCATTTATTTTATTTTTCAGTTCTAATATTCCCATTTGGTTTTAAATGTTTTATTTGCCTGAACTTTGTTTCTTTGCTCAGTCTTCCTGTTTTCTTGTGTGTTTTGTGTGTGTGTGTGTGTGTGTGTGTGTGTGTGTGTGTTTTCAAGCATGTTTTTAATTTCTCATTGAAGCATTTTTGTCATGATTCCTTTGTCTTGGTTGGGTAATTCTGTTTCTGTCATCTCAGGGTTGGAAGTTGTGTTTATCTTTTTGCATTTGATATCTTCGTGTCTTGGTGTGATGAGCTATTTTCATTTGAAACTGGACTCACTCATGTTATGAAACTCTAGATCTTGTTTAAACCCTTTAGTTTGGTTTTCTTTGCCTAGCACTGCTGTGACAAGGGAACCAGGCACTGTCTCCTTACTGCCAGTGGAGGTAGAAGTTCAGGTTCCACTTGGCCTTCGCTGACACCTGGGAGTGGGGGCTCCTCGTTGCTTCTGGTGGAGGTGGTAGTTTTGGCTCTTCACGCGGCCTCCACAGGCACCGCACTGGCGTGTCCTCTTTATTGCAGGGAGATGGTGAAAGTCTTGACTCTCCTTGGCCTCCTCTGACACCACCTCAGAGGGAGGAAGGGAGCTCCATATCGCCTCCTTTCTTTCTCTTGCAGCAGAAGTCTACCAGCCTCTCCACTTGCTCATGCTGGCATGGGTAGAGATGGGACCACGTTTTTTTCTTTAGTGTTAAGCTTGAGTACAGTGGTTCTTATCTAAAACTTTTGTCCTTTTAGGCAGCCCTTCCCTGGTCCTTTGGCTTTTGTTGGGATTCTTTTGGGTCTGTACCCATTGGTATTTCCATGTTACTGGCTTCTTAGCTGCATGTCTGGCATATCTGAGGCAAAAAGTGAACCCAGGGAACTCATCCCTGTGCCGTTCGTCAGGTCCTGCAGTCTTTGGCTATTCTGCCTTCTCTCCTTTTTTCAGAGTTTTGTGTTTGCTTTACACATAATATACAGTGCTTTTAGTTGTACCTAGTGGGAAGAATAGGGAAAAGTGTTTTTACTCCATCTACCCTAAAGTAACTTCTCATTTACTTTTTTGTTCTTTCTCAGGACTCAGTATAGTTTTAATTCCAGAATTTTATTGTTATTGACTTTATTCATATATATTGTTTTCTGTTTCCAAGTAGTGAAGAGCAGATTAATTTTCAATTTAAAAGAAGTCCTGGCCGGGCGCGGTGGCTCACACCTGTAATCCCAGCACTTTGGGAGGCCGAGTCGGGTGGATCACGAGGTCAGGAGATTGAGACCATCTTGGCTAATGCGGTGAAACCCTGTCTCTACTAAAAATACAAAAAATTAGCCGGGCATGGTGGCAGCTGCCTGTAGTCCCAGCTACCTGGGAGGCTGAGGCAGGAGAATGGCGTGAACCCGGGAGGCGGAGCTTGCGGTGAGCCGAGATGGTGCCACTGCACTCCAGCCTGGGCAACAGAGCGAGACTCCATCTCAAAAAAAAAATAAGAAAAAGAAAACAGCATCACTGTAGGTCTGGTTAGAATGAGCTGTTTACCTGATACCGAGAAGTTTTCAGTTGACTTCATTTTCTCAAGATGTGTTTCACAAAGGGTCCTGATAAGCTTCAGGTTGTAACTGCTTATCTCACGGGATTGTGACTCAGTGAAAACATGAAAAGGCTGTGGTGGGTATAAAGAACCACACACACGTGAGAGAATGGTACTCTTGTAATTGCCTTCCTGCAAATACCTACTTTGCACTTAGAGCAGCACATTTTTCTTTTTATAATTCTTAGAATCCTAGAATCTTAAAACCGAAAGATCTTAAAGATAAATGAACTTTGCCATTTTTCCCATCCATGCAACTCAGCTTCTTTGAAGGATACTCCACTGCCTCACAGCACAGGGTGTCTCAAATAGTTAACAGTGTTTGCCAACCTCTTCTATTCGGCCTTGGCCTTTCCTGTTAAATTTTTTTTTTTTTTTTTGAGACAGAGTCTCGCTCTGTTGCCCAGGCTGGAGTGCAGTGGCGCGATCTTGGCTCACTGCAAGCTCTGCCTCCCAGGTTCACGCCATTCTCCTGCCTCAGCCTCCTGAGTAGCTGGACTACAGGCGCCCGCCACCACGCCTGGCTGTTTTTTTTTGTTTGTTTTTGCTTTTTTTTTCTTTTATATTTTTAGTAGAGACGAGGTTTCACCGTGTTAGCCAGGATGGTCTCGATCTCCTAACCTCGTGATCCGCCCGCCTCGGCCTCCCAAAGTGCTGGGATTACAGGCATGTCTTCCTTCTGCTCTTTGAGTCCAGTCTTTTATGAGAGAATAGGAAAAAACACTTCCTTTAGGTTTTGATCATTCTTATCTACCATATCCTTTAGTTTTTCTTCATTTGGTATGGTTAACATCTTTGACCATTTTATCTGCCTTCTTCAAACTGCAGAATTTGTCTGGTTTTCTTAAAATGGCGCTGTGGCATCCAGAATAATACACAATGCTTGTGTAGGATGGATAGGAACTTTGCTCCATGAAACCCTGCGCTGCACTGTTGTTATTTGTACTTTTATTTCTCATGTACATAAGAAACCCTTCTGAGAGGATTTGAGATTCTTGTAGGTATATGTAAATCATTGTTTTTGCTCTCATTTTGGAACAAAGCAGTTATTGAATTTACAGATGGCTCATGGCCCTGGGATTTTTTCCCCCTCCTTAGTGAGTTAATTCTTAAGCCAAGTCAGCCCCATTTTGTTGCTTTGTTCAGTATGACTTTAAAAAATCTAAGTGCAAGTGTATATTTGTCATTAGGGTGTTTTGTTGTTAGCTTTGTGACATTGTAGAGTTTTGATTCTCTGATGCATTACGCTGGCTTTCATCCTTCCCTTCACTGTTTCCTCTGCCCACCCACTCTCCCAGTCACCTGCCTGCCCCGTTCGTGTTTTGCTCACTCTTGTTTGTTATAACCATCTGTATTATTGAAAGTGTTGGCAAGGCAGGGTCAGATATAGAGCACTGCTAGTGCATTTCTGATTGACATCAGCCCATTAACATTATGTTTTGAATGTGTATATAGAACATGGTATGAATCATTTTTACTTATATCAGAAACTGAAAAAACAATATTTTCTATAGTCTGACATCTTACTAGTAACTATAACATAGTTATGGATGATCTGATAATTTTGATACATTTTAAAATTTTGAAACATTTTATTACTTAGTTTCATTTTACTTATTTCAAAAATATTTCCAGGAAATCCCCTTACCCAGGATATATTGAACCTTTATCAGGAACCAGATGGAACAAGACGGCTGCTGAACTATTTGCTTGATAATTTGTCAGGTACTGCAAAAAGAAGTAAGTGGTTATTTGTTTAAACCTTTTTATTAGGAAGACGTGTAAGAATATTGCTTAATTCTGTATTTTCTATTCAACTAGTTACAACAGAACAACCACCTCCAAGGTCTTGGATTATGTTACAAGAACCAGATAGGACAAGGCCAACTGGTTGGTAGTCTTTTATTTTTTAACTGTTATTTTTGCTCAGTCTCTATAAGCCTAACAGTATTGTCAGCATGCTTAGATTACAGGTAGCATTAAGACAAAATGTTTAAGGTTGGTTTGGTTTGGGAGGTAATAAAAAAGAATTCTTGCTCACATGACCTCTATGTATACTACATTGTGCTATATAGAAAGTGTGCTATAAAGCAGTGCTTCTCAAACGGGCAGTTTATCCCCCAGAGGACATTTGGCAATGTCTGGAGACAATTTTGATGGTCGTAACTGGGGAGAAGTGCTGCTGGCGTCTGGTGGATGGAGGCCAGGGTTGCTGCTCAGCATTCTATAGTACACGGCACAGGCCCCCACAACAGACTTCACCTGAAATGTCAGTAGTGCGACTCTGGTTGAGAAACCCTTCTGTAGTGTACTGATGAAATTCACTTAAAATGAATACACCCAAATTTTTCTCTATGAGAAGTTTCCAAATCCTAGCATGTTCCAAATGGATTTGACACTACCGAGTTATAAGAGAGCCAAACCCTTACTTAGAGGAAAGTGGAACTAATGACTGCTCATCTCCTTTTAACCTAAATTCTATGTAAATAGTTTGGGAGCTTTCATGGTGCGTGTAACAAAATTTGGTCTGTGATACCGTTTTCATTTTGCATGAATTAACAATAGTTGTGCTGTAGAAGAAAATGAGGCATGCCTATTAAGGATACTACCTATCCAGTTTCCACATCTTACATTAACAGTTGGTAGCATGGTAGAAGGAGTATAGAAATGAGGAATGTTAGGCTCAGAGACTGAAGGGCTCACGAGCTTAGACTTTTCACTTCCAGACCTTCTGTGCCTACCTCTGTAGCAGGTAGTACATTGTATTCTAACTTGTTCACTTATCTATCCTGCTTGCATTATCCGTCTTTTATTTATCCCCCATATGTGGCGTACAGTAGCTTTTCAGTGACTATAGATTGAATGAATACGGTCAAACTTAACATTTAAGTGAAAACCATTACTGAAATTAATTATATATTTTTTTCTGCCACATGTGTGAATAAGTAAAGTTATCTTTCCTACAGCCTTGTTTTCTGTCATGTGCTATAATGTTCTTTGTGATAAATATGCGACCCGGCAGTTATACGGCTACTGTCCATCATGGGCGCTAAACTGGGACTACAGGAAAAAGGCCATTATTCAAGAAATCTTGAGCTGCAATGCTGATATCGTAAGTCTTCAGGTAAGTCAGACAGAAGACAGTCAACCTAGCATTGATAAAGGAAGGAGCAACTAGGAATACATTACGCTGACACATTTGAAGTTTTAGCTTCAGTAGTTCTTAAAGTACTGCTTTTTTCTGTTATTAGTGAATCCTGGGAGTACTGCCTGCTTTGCTTTGCAGTGCTATGTTGCAAAATAGGCAAATGTGTTAAGCTGGGATTTATGCGTTTGCCATGACCGCTAAATACTCACCTTCCTCCTCCCTCCAGCGTCCCTGCACTATTTTTGAATTGGGTGGCAAAGTTACTGAAATTCTAGCGTGGTCAAGCTATAACTTGCATTGCCGACCATGTTGCTAGAACAATTAAGGCACCGTGTAAAAAGGACTGACTTGGTACACGAACATTTTGGGTTCTCAGTGCAACTCTCATAGTCACTCATATGATCTTGAACATGTTACTTTCTGCCCAAGGGTCTGAAGTTATGATTTGTAAAGTTCGTCGACCTCTGTGGTTCTTGTTCCACCTCAGTTCTAAGACATAAGGAAATACACATGCATAGAAGTGTGTCTTTCACTCACTGTTCTTAAACAACAATGAGTTGCCCTTGGTACCTAGTACCTGTAAAATGACAAGTCGCTGTTCCAGTTGGTTTCAGATAAATAGTGTTGAAAAGATGTTACTTTTTTTTTTTTTTTTTTTTTTTTTTTGGGTGGTGGGGAGACAGGCTCTTTCTCTGTCCCCCAGGCTGGAATGCAGTGGCATGATCTCAGCTCACTGCAACCTCCGCCTCCTGGGTTCAAGTGATTCTCAGCCTCCGTAGTAGCTGGGATTACAGGCATGCACCACCATGCCTGGCTAATTTTTGTATTTTTAGTAGAGATGGGGTTTCGCCATGTTGGCCAGGCTTGGTCTGGAACTCCTGGGCTCTAGTGATCCGCCCGCCTCGGCCTCTCAAAGTGCTGGGGTTACAGACATGAGCCACCATGCCCGGCCCGGAAAGATGTTACATTCTTTAATCTGCAGACCAGTCCTTTGAAATTATTTCAAGCTCTCAAACTATACATAGAAGTTAATATGCAGACTAATTTTTGTCTTATGAAATAACTGTGCTGTTTACAACTTTTCAGGAGGTTGAAACGGAACAGTATTACAGTTTTTTTCTGGTAGAGCTGAAAGAACGTGGCTATAATGGATTCTTCAGTCCTAAGTCTAGAGCTAGGACAATGTCAGAACAAGAAAGGAAACATGTTGATGGCTGTGCAATATTCTTCAAGACAGAAAAGTAAGTCATCTTATTTTTTAAAAAGAACGTTTTCTCAGTATTTGCAGGGTGGGGGCCAAGGGTGTGGAAACTAATTGGCAAATGAGAGAATGAGGCACTATATTATTACTGAAGCAAAGAATACTGTTTGACCTAGGGGGTTTTTGTTTGTTTTTAATCATCAGAAATAACCTTGTTTTGGAGACATGCTTAAAGTACTGCTGTTTCTTCAGGTGTTTACTAGGGTTTAACTCCCAATTGTTAATTGAAATACCATGTAGTTAAAATTCCCTCTATGACGGTACAGGGATTCTTAAACCCATACTTTAGAAAAGAATTGTTTAAAAATTACAAGGTAGAATATTCCAACATAAAACTTAAACAGAAGATGACTACATTTTCTTCAGTTGTAAAAATATTTCAAGTTGTTATTTGTATCAATAACAGACTGAGAGCAACTTTAAATGGATGTGGGAAGCTTGATGCTGAACGTGGAGGATTTTCCGTAATGTGATTTAAGTGCCATCGTATCTGTTAAGGAAGTTTGGGAAAACTGCGTTTCCCACAAAGCTAACCTCTTGGTATTCCCAACTCTGTGTGTGTGTGTGTGTGTTGTTTTTGTTTTAGATTTACTTTGGTTCAGAAACACACTGTTGAATTTAATCAGCTAGCCATGGCAAATTCTGAGGGGTCTGAAGCTATGCTGAACAGAGTCATGACAAAAGATAACATTGGGGTTGCAGTACTGCTAGAACTTCGGAAGGAATCGATTGAAATGCCGTGTGAGTGCCCTTCACTTCCTGTAAAATTGACCAGCTCTGACTAGACATCTTCAAAAGAATAGAAAACAGAAATTTCATTGTGTATTCATGGTCTTGTCTAACACCTGAAGAAACTCAGTGAGAAGTTGTCTTTCCTAAAATGTATCTCTTTTTCTCTACCACAAAGCTTAACATGAGAAAGCATTGCCCATTAAAGTATTAGAAGCCTTGAAAAGCATTAAAAAACCTTTTTTTTTTTTTTTGCTCCTAAGAATTTTTCATATAAAATAAATGTTGAAGTAAATATTAATTAAAATAACTGCTCAGGGGTAAGAACTCCATACACTTTTGTAATTTTTTGGCAGCAAGGATATTCTGTAAGCTAACTTCTTTTCCTGATCTATTTAAAATAATCATTTTATTAGCTGGGTGTGGTGGTGGGCGCCTGTAATCCCAGCTACTTGGGAGGCTGAGGGAGAGAACTGCTTGAACCTGGGAGGCAGAGGTTGCAGTGAGCCAAGATTGTCACACTGCACTCCAACCTGGGTGACAGAGTGAGACTCCTCAAAAAATAAATAAATAAATAAATATAAATAAATAAATACATAAAATAATTATTTTAAAGGTCTTGAGTTTTGGATAAATGGACCACTTCAAATTGAAAGCATATTTCAAGTGACCATTATGCTGGGAGCCGAAACTTGTGTCACTTGAGGAACAGTTGGAACTGGAGAAATTTAATGTGAAGTATAGAAAAAATGGAAATAGGACTTAACGATTGTCTTAAATCTAAGAAAGAGGGTTTAGATGTAATTTTGTGAGGCTCGATTTAGGACATCCAAACTAAGACCAAAAGTTTCAGGGAGACAGAATTTTAAAAATCAAGCTGTCCCAAATAGGGCTATTTTTGTACAAGTAGTGAATGCCCTGTGCTGGAAGCATCAGCCCAGGTTGAGATGTGTATTTCTCGGGTTTGTTGTAGGGCACATTCAGTCATCCGGTGGGAATTTTAGGTGTCTTTTCTATTCTGGGACTCTGAGAGATTATTTGCTTTCAGACGCTGTAAGAATATATGGGCTGATGGGCGGGTTTTGTCTCTTTCTTTGTTTCGTTTTTATCTAATGTAGCCGGAAAGCCACATCTTGGAACAGAAAAACAACTTATTCTTGTGGCTAACGCCCACATGCATTGGGACCCTGAATACTCTGATGTGAAGTTGGTACAAACTATGATGTTCCTCTCAGAAGTGAAGAACATTATTGATAAAGCCTCTCGCAACCTCAAATCCAGTGTTTTGGGAGAATTTGGAACTATTCCACTTGTGTTATGTGCAGATCTTAATTCTTTGCCAGACTCTGGTAAGAAAATAATGTGATTTTATGTAGAATATTTTTTGACATAAGATGATTTAGTAATGTTTTGTTTCTGATCATTCCAAATTAAGTCCAAATAAAAATTCAGTTTGTAATGGCAGCTATGAGCAGGTTTTAAACATCATGTTGGGGTGGAGGGGCCATTTTGAAGATGAAACGATATTATGGAAACTTGAGGAGAAGGATGTTAATCATCTTGAATAAACACATAAGCAATAACGTGAAATAACTCTTTAAAGAACGTATGTAGTTCCATTTTATTACTCCAAAGTCAGAGATAATTATGGTTATTAAGACAGCCTCTTTGGGATTCCAGCGTGTGGTAATATAATCATAGTTTAAATTTGAGTTAAAATTATAGAATCTCAATTTTGCATGTATTTATAACTTGATTAGAAAAATACACCTCAGGTGGAAAATGAGCTCCTTTATTTGCACACATATCAGTCAAGCGATTTTGACAAAGAGCAAGGATCTTGATTTTTATTAAAATGTAGAATACAGAAAGCCTGATCTGGAGCGCTCTTTCCGTGGATAGTATACAATAAACAGTAGCCCTTGTAATAACAAACTGTTTCTTTCTTTTTGTGTTTCAACTCATTTATACACACAGGAATACTCTTCCTTGGACGTGAATGTACGCATGAACACACACACACGCACATTTGGAAGCACGTTCTTGACATCACAATAGATAGAGCCCTTAGGAAGAAAGAAACTGGCTGGGTGCCGTGGCTCACGCCCGTAATCCCAGCACTTTGGGGGGCCCAGGTGGGCAGATCAGTTGAGGCCAGCAGTTCGAGACCAACCTGGCCAACATGGTGAAACCCCATCTGTACTGAAAATACAAAAATTAGCCAGGCGTGGTGGTGCACGCCTGTAATCCCAGCTACTCGGGAGGCTGAGGCACAAGAATGACTTGAACCCCAGAGGCAGAAGTTGCAGGGAGCCAAGATTGTACCACTGCACTTCAGCCTGGGTGACAGAACGAGACTATAAATAATAATAATATGATAATAAAAGAGAGAGAAAGAAAAACTGAGTTAAAATTCAATTTCAGGGAAAATCAAAGCTATCTGAAATCTGTAATTATTTCATCTCATCAAGTTATCTGGGGATTACTGCCCCTGAAGCAGTTGAGTAGTAGTCTCTGACAATTTCTCTACATGCTTTCTACTTTCTGTGTAGCTACAAAGTATCTGAGGAGTAAAGAGAAAATCTGGTCAAACATTAATATCCAAGACCCATTTCAGCATTGAGAAATACAGTATTATAATAGCAGGCAGGTCAGAAAATGTCCAGCCTTGCTAATTTGTGAATAAAATGTAAATGAAAGTATATTTTCATAGCCCATCTTATGCTTAGTAAATTGGGAAAATACTTCACCAGGGATGTGGACGTTTGGCCTGTAACTAGCTGGTGGTATTCTCTTCCATAGTTGGCAGCATTATAAAATGGCACATTCAGTCCTAATCTTGGGATTTTATACCAAGTAAATAATTGAGCGTAAGCCAGAAGTCTGCATACTAAGATGCTGATCGTGGTGTTATCTTTAATTCTTTGTAAAAAGTGGAAACAACCTGCATTTTACAAAATAAGTAACCAGTAAATATTATCCACCAGCCCAATTGCATTGTGCAGCCATTAAAGAACGATAATTGGGAAGACACATGTTCATAAAGCAAATTATAAACTATTCAATACTCTGTGATGACAACTGTGTAAAAATAGATTTGGGCAAGTCCTGGCAAATGTAAAAGGAAACATTTTGGAACGTGGGAATATGTATAGTTTAAAACTTCTTACTATTGCATGATCTTTTAAAATTACTTTTTGTATATATTTGACAATAAAAAAATTTGTCTTCATTGTAGGTGTTGTAGAATATTTGAGCACAGGTGGAGTAGAAACAAATCACAAAGACTTTAAGGAGTTGAGGTATAATGAAAGTCTCACAAACTTCAGCTGTCATGGGAAGAATGGAACCACCAATGGAAGGATCACTCATGGTTTCAAGTTACAGAGTGCCTATGAGAGTGGCCTGATGCCTTACACGAATTACACATTTGATTTCAAGGTGTGTCTTGAGACTGATAAGCTTTTCAAACCTGTCTTTTACTGGCAGGTGTTCTGATACATCATTATGTCTTTAAAACTGTGGCTGTGTGTTCAGGCTGGAATGAAGCAGTCTTGAATTCATTGACAGCAATGTTCTTTGTTTTTTGTTTGAGACAAGGTCTCACTCTGTTACCCAGGCTGGAGTGCAGTGGCACAGTGATGGCTCACTGCAGCTTCAACCATGCCGGCTCAAACGATCCTCTCACCTCGGCCTCCCTAGTAGCTGGGACTACAGGCGCCTACTACCACGCCTGGCTAATTCTTGTATTTTTTGTAGAGATGGGGTCTCGCTATGCCCAGGCTGATCTTGAACTCCTGGCCTCAAATGATTCTTCCACCTCAGCCTCCCAGTGTGCTGGGATTACAGGCGTGAACCACTGTGCTCAGCCAGTAATATTCTTTTATTACTCTTTTTTAGAAGTCCATGTGATCAGTGTCACATCCTTACTTTGTAGATATTTATTCTAATAATTTTCAGGATAAGAAGTCACATGAAATAATCTGTAAAATTCCTAAGTTGACTTTTTCACCTTTTGGGGACAATTATGTTTCTTATATTCTCATTACTAATAGCTAGATATGCAGCACCATAATTATCTAGTTTGAGTGGCATTTGTGGTAAGATGTTCCTTCTCTTACATTTTAATTTAACTGAAAGTAAACTCTTGCATGCCAAAATGTGATTTATATTAGCTATTTTTAAGTGTTTCTAAGATACATCTTTTTTCTCCCCCTAGAGACAGTCTTGCTCTGTTGCCCAGGCTGGAGTGCAGTGGCGTGATCTCGGCTCACTGCAACCTCCACCTCCCAGGTTCAAGTGATTCTCATACCTCAGCCTCCCAAGTAGCTGGGATTACAGGCATGAGCCACCTCACCTGGCTAATTTTTGTATCTTTGGTAGAGACGGAGTTTCACCATGTTGGCCAGGCTGGTCTTGAATACCTGGCCTCAAGTGATCCACCCACCTTGGCCTCCCAAAGTGCTGGGATTACAGGCATGAGCCACCGCACCTGGTCAGACTTACACCATTTTTAACGTTAGTGATTGTTTAGGGCTGTCACTTTCTTGTGTTCAACTGTCCTTTTTCTAAAAAGAGATATGGTCTCACTCATTTTGCCCAGGCTGAAGTACAGTGATGTGATGATAACACACTGCAGCCTCAAACTCTCGGGCTCAGGCAACCCTCCTGCCTCAGCCTCCCCGCTAACTTGGACTACAGGTGTCCGCCGCCATACCCAGATCTTTTTTTTTTGGTAATTTTTTGTAAAGACAAGGTTTTGCTATATTGCCCAGCCCAATCTTGAACCCCTGGCCTCAAGCAATCCTCCTGCCTTAGCCTCCCAAAGTGCTGGGATTATAGACGGGAGCTACCACATCTGGCTCAGCTGCCCTTTTAAACTACTTTTTGCATTTCTGCTTTCTTAAAAATTTCTTAACTCCCAGCTTTCTATTTCTAAGCTGCTGGAAAAGTAATCATTTAGATTAGACTGTCAGAGTGTAAATAAGAGTTTAGATAGTATCTCAGGAGCCTTTGCACCTTAGAGCATAGAAAGTAAACCCCTGTTTATCCTCAGGTGCCCCTTCCTTTCAGGTTCTTCAGGAGACATTGAAGAGAAAGCATGGGTAGCAGCCACAGAGTGGGAATGCTTAGCGTTTTCTTTCTCTTTCTGTTGCTGATGCAGTGGCAGGAAGAAGACACTTGAATGTGCTTCAGTACATTTGGCCAAGAGCATGTAGAGGGGAGGACCAGAACCATCAGATGGGAACAGTTTAGTAGATGCCATGGCGGGGTGCTGCTGAGAGAAAAGGGGGTCAGGTAGAGACAGTCCTGCCCTCATGGAGCTGAGGTGTGATGAGAGAGACAAGTCTCAACCACACAAATGAGTAGATAATTACACCTTGAGATGGCCATTAGCAAGGGAAGTGAATCTGTGGTGAGAGGTAGGGTAGTAAGTAGGTAGGAGCAGGATTCAGGAAGGTCTTTGGAAAGCAGTTGAACCTGACATTGAAAGATTAAGAAGGAATTGACCTCATAACAAGTAGAAGAAAGTGTTCCAGGCAGAATGGTGGAGGGGGGCAGTGTGTGTGTGTGTGTGTGTGTGTGTGTGTGTGTGTGTGTGTGTGTGTGTCCGTCCGTCCGTCCGTCCTGGGGCAGGAAAGAACTTGGTACCTATAGGTCCCCTCACATCCTCACCCCTTTCTCATTCCAAAGGCTAGTGTGGAAGCAGGGAAAGTGGCACAAATTAGGCTAGGAAAGAGAAGCAGAGGCTGCATCCTGAAAGGCCTTTTAGGTCTTGTTAAAGATCCAGATAAGAAGAATGCTTCATTCTGCTAGATTTGACATTTTGCACGGGGACCATTTGGTGTATGTAGTACAGACCTCATCCTACAAGCTAGTAAGTTTCACTTGTTCTGTTCTGTTCACCAAACATGACATAAAGGCATGTCTTGAAAGCACTGAGGATTTTAGTGTTGTCTTATACGGTGCTTATCTTTTTTTCTGTTGTTTTTCAGGGTATAATAGACTACATTTTCTATTCTAAACCTCAGCTGAACACCTTAGGCATCCTGGGCCCTCTGGACCACCACTGGCTGGTTGAGAATAACATCAGTGGCTGCCCGCACCCCCTCATCCCCTCTGACCACTTCTCACTTTTTGCACAACTGGAGCTCTTACTGCCTTTCCTGCCCCAAGTCAACGGCATCCACCTTCCTGGCAGGAGGTAGTCAAGCACCTTCAGAGGACAGCCTTGATTCACTTGTAAACTTGTGAAAATCTGAACATAGGGGAGTGAGGTATGGCCACTGAGGATTTTTGCTTGCTTAAGAATGATTTGGACTTTCAATCTGATTATTTGATAAGGATATAGTATGAAAGCCAGGTGCTAGCAACAGACAAATTCTGAGCCCAATATGCTTTATACTGCTAGACAGGGATTGGTGTGTTTGCACCTGTCTTTCATTTGTCATAAGAGATTTTCCTATTTCTTCTACCCAATAGAATATTTTCATGCCTGGAAATAGGAAAATGTGTGAACAGCGTATTCTCTTCACACAGAAATCTGTAGCACTGCTTTTTTGAGGCCAGTAGCAACATCCAGAGATCATTCTTCCATACTTTACTCCCTCCTTTTTCAGACTTGTTTGTAAAGTACAGAATCTGAATTTAGCCTTTATGATTGTATATGATCCACAGAAGACCTGATTTATGAAATTTTGTACTAAAATCATTTGGAAATGATTGTATTGTAAACTGAGGCTAAATTTTTTTTTAAACCTGTTTCATGTGTTATAAAGGCCAGCTTGTAAAAGAAGCTGCAACAGACTTTCTCTGCTCATGATTTGCACTCTTAGGGTTTTGTTAGCCCTTTTGTACTACTTTCTTTTTAAATTGAGAACATGGTTCTTTACATATAAATCTGCTTCAACCTTAGGATGTTTTCAGACCAGAGGCAACTTATTCATGAATTTTTATGAAAACTATCTACTAGGACAGATAAGCTGAACAGTGATGATCTGTAGACATTTATGGACTGAATGTAATGGTTGATATATGTACATTCTGATATTTTTAAATCTTTAACTTTTTAAAGTTAAAAACCTACAGCTGCTTAGGTCCAGCTTCTTAACTCTTTTTGAGACACTTCCTGTCCTATCTCCACTGTGCCTGCCTAAATTTGTTCTCACCAAGCACTGCCTGTGCATGCAGAGAAAATCTGTGCATCCTCTTTTATATTTTTAAAATACTGTTTAACATTTGTGAGAATTTTATGAAAATGCTTTTGTATGAGCTGTGGCTTTTTCCCATTGTGAAGCATTGAATATCACATTTTGGAACATGTTATAGGGTGAGTCCCTGGATCTTTGCTCACCAGATCCAAGCACTGCTTCTCGGTGTCATTGCAGTGTGCTGCTTGTCACCCAGAATACTACTATCATGTGAATTCTTTTTGTCGTCAGTGTCTTTTCCTTAGTCTTTTTGTTGTTGTTGTTGTTGTTGTTTTAATCATTCCTTTTTTAAGAAGAAGTAATTTTCCATTTATGAAGCAGTATGAATTAGATGTATTTTCAAAACAGGTCCCTAAGACAATTCTTCAGATCATTTTTAAAAT